>NC_000001.11:237093212-237244727 GCF_000001405.40 Homo sapiens | reverse complement strand
GGTTTAATAGGCAAAAGAAAGAGAAAGAAAGAGAAAGGAAAAGAGCTCCCTCTCTAGTGATAGAGACGGGATTCCGAGAGGAAAAGGCCGGCTGGGATGGATGAGCTGGATTTTATATTTCAGCTTGAGGAGGTGGTGTCTGATTTATGTAGGGCCAACACATTGGTTCCATCAGGAGTGACCTTTACATAGCTTGCAGAGAAGGCTGGCCACCCCACCCTAATCTTATTATGCAAATAGACTTTCCACTCTAAGGACACCATCTTCTCTGCTCCTTACTCTACACGTGACTGATAGAGAGAAGGGCAGATGGAGCCGCCATTCTGAACATGCCATTTGGGGGCTGCTTTACATTAAAAGGAAAATCTTACCGAGGATGCCCCTACCCTCACTATCTGCCCAGGTACTTTCTTCTGAACTCCCGTATCAAAATCAGACTGGAAGCAAAGATGCACTGAATGTGGAAAGATGATTTATTTTCTAAATTTCTAAATACTACCTTGTGCACGAACATCCTTAAACGGTGACATCTAAGCAAAAGGAAGAAGCTATGTGTTGTTTGGACAGCCCTATGGACACTGGCCCTGTTGGTGAGACACCTTGATATTCCTCTTCAGAGGGAGCCATCCACTCTCCAGACTGTCAGTTCAATTGATTTGGATAAAGGTGATCACGCACCTCTCACACCTCTGTACCAGTGACCGATACCTCCCATCTTCCTAGGGACATGACCCAGGATGGTGCAAGGAGAATAAATACCAGTAATGAAACTGAGGAAGGAGGAGCTCTCTCTGCCTATCTCACAGCTGGCATAATGTGTGACTGGAGCGGCTGGTGACCTTCTTGCCACATTGTGTTATAATGTTATGATAAATATATATGTATAGTTTTTTGTCCATAACATGTATTGGTTCCTGGCTCATAACTCCTATTGTCTTTTGTTATAATGTTGGGTGTGTTCCGCCCCAGGAGCAGGCCTCAAGAAACAGAATCTCTCTGATCTTCTCCTCCCTCCTTTCACCTGCCCCAAGGCAGGACTCTAATCTTGCCTAACCTTTCTGACTGTGGTTTTTAAGACCCTCCCCAGATAGGGTCCCACGCTATAGCCTGGGGAAAGGAATGCCAACATCAAGAAGCTTCCATAAAAACCCAAGAGTCCTGGTTTGAGGAGCTTCTGGATAGCTGAACATGTGGAAGTTCCTGGGTGGTGGTGCCCAGGGAGGGCATGGAAGCTCTGCACCCCTTCCCACATACCTCACCCTACACAGCTCTTCATCTGTACCCTTCGCAGGAGTCTTTATAATAAGCCCGTAAATGTAAATAAGTGTTTTCCTGAGTTCCGTGAGCTGATCCAGCAAATTAAATCCAAACAGGGGGTCATGGGAACCCCAACTCAAAGCCAGTTGGTTAGAAGTTCTGGGAGCCTGGATTAGAGACTGGTGTCCAGGGTTACTGGGGGCTTGTGGGGACTGAGCCCCCAACCTGTGGGATCTGACACTATCTCCAGGTAGATAGTGTGAAACTGAATTGGAAGAGGACACTCAGCTAGGGTTCATGCTTGGTGTATGGGGAACCCCTCCCCTGACCCCGGTCACAGAAGTCTCCTGTGTTGATGGTGTGGTGGTGTGACAGCAGGGGAAAATAGCAGTTGGAGAGTTATTTTGGAAACACCTGGGGAAAACCTGCCTGCATACGAAGCCAACACTGAAGGAAACACTGCCAAGAAACAGTGGGGCCAGTTATAATGGCAGAGTTTGCAACCCTGGAAAAAGTCATACTTGAGCCCTACCCCAGACTTTTCACTTATGTGAGTCAATAACACATCACTTCTTTACTTTGGCTTACGTCAGTTTCAGTTGGGTTTCTGCACGTACATCCAAAAGAGCTCCAATACACCAAAAGGCTCCTATCATCAGTAACTCGAGTAAATCAACACAGCATTGACAACTTTCAAATTCCAATTCACAGAGCTGTAAGCCTAAAACCTTTTCAATGAAAGAAGGCCATTTTCTGTAGGAAATTTCAGAGGGACCTGTGCTGAAGTGACTTTCATGAATATTCATGTTATATATTTTCTCAAGCCCTTAGTGCATAGTAACGTGAAAATGTCTATGCTAAGGATTCACGTCCTGAGTATTAAACCTTTCTGAGTTGGTAAAAATCTTCTCTAATTTCTCCTAGGTCACATAATATCCTATGGCTCAAAAGTATCTACTTCACAAGACTTAAAATTCAGAAGAATTTTAAAAAATCATCTTTCTGCTTTCTACTGTCCTTGCATTTAGTTATCCTAAAATTGTCCTGGTCTAGGAGCTAGGAGGTTCTAGGGCTAGCTTTGTGAATAACTTAGGTATATCCCCCTAAATACAGCATTTACTTCCCTGAATCTGTTTACTATTTAGTAATGTGAAGAAGGTATACTAGATGATTTCTAAAGTCTCTCCTACTTTTTAAAAATCTCTGAGGATTTTTCACATGTGATTTTATTGCCCCAAACCTGGCAAACAAACAAACAAACAAACAAACAAAAAAAACAGTGATCAAAATACTGTTTAGGCATACTGGAAAAAAGTCTTTTTCATTCACTATAGTGTATCTAGCAGTAATAGGACTTTTCCTCTTTTTCTTTGTTTCTCTGAAGACTTCAAATCCTTAAAATAGTCAAGAAGAAAATTATGCCTTTCTATCTACTATCCACCTTTTCAACTATTTATTGAGGTAGGACTAGTTTCCCAAGACACAGGTCACAAGACCCTGCTAATACAATAGGATGTGGTAAGGAAGCCAGCCAAAGCCAGATGAAACCAGCCAGAATCAAGATGGTGACAAAAGTGACCTCTGTTCATCCTCACTACTCATTATACGTAGTTACAATGCATCAGCATGCTAAAGGCACTCCCACCAGCACCATGACAGTTTACAAAGGCCATGACAATGTCTGGAAGTTATCCTATATAGTCTAAAAAGGGAAGGAACCCTCAGTTCTGGAAATTCCTCACTCCCTTCCTGGAAAACTCATGAATAATCCACCCCTTGTTTAGCATATGATCAAGAAATAACCATAAAACTAGCCAACCAGTAGCCCTTGGAGCTGCTCTGCCTATGGAGTAGCCACCATTTTATTCCTTTACTTTCTTAATAAACTTGCTTTCTCTTTACTCTGTTATCCTCTCTTGAATTCTTTCCTGCGTGAAGCCAAGAACCCACTTGGCCTCCTGGGCTGAACCCCAATTTTGAGATTTACCCTGTGACAGATATAGTTCCACATATCACTATATCACATTCTCCATTTAGAGATATTTAAATATAGTGACCAACAATATTTAATATGAAGCATTTAACCTGACCAAGAGTAATTCAAATGCCAAACTGTTGCCCATTGGCTTCCAAAATTAGCTCTAGAGATATATTACATTTCGTTAATTCTAAGACACGTTTTATCATGTTTCAACATGTTTAACCTAAGGATGCTTCATACATGGATGACACCATAGATATGCTGATGTACAATCAGTATAACCCCGTAGCCTGGTACAGTATGACCAACTGATCTGGACAGAAGAGCACTGCATTCAAACTATGTCCTGTGTGACTTCTCTCTTCTCTCCTCATTACTGGCTGTGCTTAGCAGCCTGCATTTCTAATTAAAGAGATTTGTCTTCTGCCTAAAATGCTACCATCCTTGAATCTAACAATTACAGTTTGGCATATACATGTACCATGTTATTCATTTGACCTTATTTCCATTTGATCTAAAATGTTACCTGTGAATGTTCTTTGAAAAATATAAAATGCCATATCATCTTAAGATGATGATAATGTTAAAAGTAGCATTACTGTTTTCATGGTTTTACTTATATATAAAATGAAATGTTTTTCTATCCTAAGCAACCAACCAACTGAAAACAATGATAAGATAATTTAAGGGAAGAAAGTACCTTTCACATGAAATCTTGGAGTAGGAAGGAAACTTAAAGATCCTTATCCCAATTTAGCAAACAATGTGAGCATCCTCTACATGGTATGTCTGACCCACTGTTTTTTTTTTTTTTTTTTTTTTTTGGCTTTTATAGAGGGGGCAATACAACACTTGACTTATTATATTTAAATATAAAATAAAAATATTTAGTCATAATTTCAAAGACAAAGAGGAATTTATATGACATCTAGTAGAACACGCTCATTTTATCATTGTGAAAATAAGTTTGGTTTATAGTATGGTACTCAAGGCCACTAAGCCAGTGAGAAACAGGACCATGAACAGTATATAAATTTCAAATGTGTCACCTTTGTTTTTCTACTTAAGCATAAAACAGTTTCAGTAAATTTCTTTATTAATAAAAGGTGTTTGGGGGCTATATAAACCAAGGGTCACAATGAGAATTATATTTGGATTCACTTTTTTGAGGGATTATGGAATATTCAGTGCTCCAGAATTGTGTCATTAGAGAATTATGTAGTGTTGAAAAGCTGGACAAGAAATGAACTCCAAATATCCCTAATAATTATAACTCTTCTGGCAAAAGAGGGCTACTAGCTGCCTTAGACGACGGCAACCTCACATCTGCAGAATGCCAAAACTTCTGAAAATACCTGGAATTCAAATACTTTTTTGCTCTAGGGAATTAAAACACCAGGAAAACAACAGACTATATATGGTAAACGAATGTGTCTCTTGTGCTTAAGCACTAATGGCAGTTTTAATGATCGAGCAAAATGATCTTTTCTAATGATAAAATCCTGAGAGAAAGAGAGAGAGGGAAAGATATTCTTTTATCCAAACTTCTTCCCTCCCTGCTGGGAATATTTAAATCTTAACTATCCCTCAGAGTCCTTGCAACGTGATAGAGTAAACAGTTGATGAAAAAGTGAGATGTGCTCTTGGTTTATACACTACCTAGTCCAGAAACTGCTGAAAAAATTAAGAGCCTTGTTCAAGCACACTGCTGTATGATAATCAAAGTGATACAGGAGCTAAAAAGAAATTATTTAGGCTGTGAGGTAAGAGAGTCCTCGGTAAGATTTCCCTTTTAATAAAAAGCAGCCCCCAAATTATTTCTTTTCTAACACAAAGCAGCCTGAAAAATCAAGCTGCAAACATAGATAGCCAGGTATATTCAACATGGAGGCTCCCTCCTCCCTTTTCTTTGTTGCCACGTGTGCAGTAAAGAAGGAGGCAAGGAGATGCAGGCCAGGTAGAAAACCCATCTACATAATAAAAGATTAGGGTGAGGCGGCCAGCTTCTTCATGTGCTATGCAAATGGCACACCTGGTCCAACCAATCTTTTAGGCTCTGTGAAAATCAGACACCGCCTCCTCAAGCTACTCTATAAAACCCCGTGCATTTCACCATGGAACCAGAAGACCCACTTGGAAGCCCCTCTCTCTGCAGGAGAGAGCGCTTTTCACTTTCTGTTGCCTGTTAAACCTCTGCTCTTAACCTCACTCCATGTCCGTGTCTTTGATTGCCTTGGTGTGAGGCAACAAGCCTCGGGTATTACCCCAGACAAACAACCCTGCTTCAAAAGCCTGGGCACTCCACCTGCATAAGTTCAGAAGCATTTTCAAAAGGAATAATAATAGCAAATATATACACATATATAAATATGCATATATAGAGATGGGAAAAGTTCACCCTAGCTTTTGCATCATAACTTTTTGCCTTAATTGTTTAAAATATATGTAATTTTATGGGAAAATCTCCTGTTTCTAATCCTGAGCACACTCAATGTCTTCATGAAAGAGGAGTGAGAACAGAGTCCGACTGGTGTATGATGCTGATGACTGGTATAGAACAATCATTCACCTGGATGCCCCTAACTCATACTAATTGGGTTCGTACCTTTTATCGTCATTTTTCCACAAATGATCTACTTACAAATGCTAGTAAATATGTTAGAGAATATTTCACTATGCAATTCAAAACAAAGTCAAGCCACTAACTGCAAAGGTCCATGGCAAATCTCTTACAGATCTAAGGTGACCCACAGGTCTATTATTGACCTGGATGTGTTGGTTAGCCACAGATCAAAAGAAGAGAACTCCAGTACGACCAGTCTGCCTGACGGTGCTACAGTCCTCATCACGGCTCTTCATGGTGGAGAAGGAGGCCAAGACCAGAGGACAAAGTGAGATGTTAAGATTATCAGTGCTTTATTATGTTAGCAGAGTCAAGCTCTGTAAAATATTTAAAGAGGTTTACTCTGAGCCAAATATGAGTAACCAAGGCCCATGACACAGCCCCAGGAGGTCCTGAGAACATGTGTTCAAGGTAGTCAGGTTACAGCTTGATTTTATACATTTTAGAGGGACAGAAGTTACAGAAGGACCTCAATCAATACATGTAAGGTATACTTTGGTTTGATCTGGAAAGGCTGGACAACTCGAAGCTGTTGGGGGAGGGGGACTTCCAGGTCATAGGTGGACTCAAAGATTTTTCTGATTGAAAGAGTTAAGGGCTGGGCACAGTGGCTCACGCCTGTAATCCCAGCACTTTGGGAGGCTGAGGAAGGAAGACTCACTTGAGCCCAAGAGTTCAAGACCAGCCTGGGCAACATGGTGAAATCCCTGTCTCTACTACTAAAAATACAAAAATTAGCCAGGTGTGGTAGCTACTGGTGTGGACCACACCTGTGGTCCTGCTACTCAGGAGGCTGAGATGGGAGGATCATCTGGAGGTCGAGGCTGCAATAAGCCATGATGCGCCACTCCAGCATGGGTGACAGAATAAAACCCTGTTGGAAAGGAAAGGAAAGGAAAGGAAAGGAAAGGAAAGGAAAGGGGAAAGGAAAGGGGAAAGGGAAAGGGAAAAGGAAAGGAAAAAGGAAAGGGGAGGGGAGAGGAGGAGAGGGGAAAGGAAAAGACCAAGGTTTTTATTATGCAGATGAAGCCTCCAGGTAGCAAGTTTCAGAGATAACAGATGGTAAATGTCTCTTATTAGTCCTAAAAAGATGCCAAACCTTAGTCAATTCGGAAAAGACTAGGAGTGGGTAAGGGATTCTCTACAAAATGTAGATTTTCCCCACAAGAGGTAGCTTTGCAGAGCCATTTCAAAATATGTCAAAGAAATATATTTTGGGGTAAGATGCTTCAATTTCTTTCAGGGCCTGTTATCTGTCATGTGATGCTATACTAGAGTCAGGTCTGAATTTGGTATCTTATTGCTACAGTGTGTTTTGTCAGTCTTCAGATTTCTGTTTTAATGTGTATGCTGGCCAATTGTGCCTGAATTCCAAAGGGAGGAGAGTGTAACGGAACATGTCCAATTCCACTTCTTTTCATAGCATGAACTAGTTTTTCAGGTTTCTTTGGGTCCTCTGGCCTAGAGCGAGGTCCATTCAGTCAGTTGGAGGCTTAGAATTTTATTATTCATTTATATTCATCAATAATTTCCTTCTCTGAACTATAAGATCCTCAAGGAACACTGTAGTAAATAACAGATACTATTAATCAAAGGATACTACTAACAAAGGATACTACTTGTATTAGTCTTTTCTCACACCACTATAAAGAAATATCTGAGACTGGGTAATTTATAAAGGTAAGAGGTTTAATTGACTCACAGTTCAGCATGGCTGGGGAGGCCTCCGGAAACTTACAATCATGGTGGAAGGGGAAGCAGGTGTGTCTTACATGGCGGCAGGAGAGAGGGAGAGCACAAAGAGGGAAGAGACCCTTATAAAACTATCAGATCTTGTGGGCACTCACTCATATCATTATAACAGCATGGGAGAATCCACCTACCAGTCCCTCCCTTGACATATGGGTATTACAGGGATTACAGTTTGAAATAAAATTTGGGTGGGGACACAGAGCAAAACCGTATCACTACTAATCAAAGGATACTCTGTCAATGGTTGGATAGAGCCTCCAACAATTTCCCTCCCACCTTTTAGGAAAGGACCATACCAAAAATATCTTATATTGTAGATAATTCCTCAACATGATATCTCAAAGCACGCCATCCCATTATTAAGAGTTTCCATTATGGAAAACTCTATCTTAAATTGCTTACACTCAATCTAAGTTCTTTTTCTCTTGCTGACTGCCCAAAGCAAACTGCAGCAGTTTGCTGCCTGCTCACTTCCATGTTTTTTGTTATTTATTTTTAATATTGAAAAGAGCTTTAGACTTTCTCTACCAATAACTATCTGCACAACCTTGTATCAATCATTTAATTTTCCTAAACCTAAATTTCCTCATCTACAAAATAAAATATCAGGACAAATTTGTAAATGTCTAGGACTTTTACTATGTCAATATTCATCCTGAAACTCTAGATTGGTATCATTTCTTGGCCTCTATTCTAACTCTTTGGACATAGATTTTATCCCCATCTGCATTTTTCATAAATTTCTTATCTTTTCCTGGTACTTCCTAAGAAAAAAATTAATGATAACACTGCAAATAAAAAGAGTTCAAACCAAGAAAAGCTCAGTACTATTGACTGATCTACTTTCTCACAATGAGTGCTACGAGCAAAGGAGAGGTGAGCCAATGCAGGAACTAGCAAGTGTCTGAAACAGGGCAGGTGCACCCTTTCCTTTCCTACTTAGATCTGGGATAATGAAAGCCATTGATTTGTCATTAGTAATAACACTTCCCAATTTGTAAGTGAGGTTTTTTGGTATTTTGCTATTGTTACTGTTGTTTTGAAAAATACATGGACGATTGCGTACTGTGGAAAAGAAGTATGTGCTCATAGAGGCACCATATTCCTTCAGAATATGACAGGATGACTAGAGGGTTGAGAAAAATCCTTATCACACAATTTAGAACAATGTTGTCATCCAATATGAGTATGCACTGAACATGAAGGCTTGTTTTCAATGCTAACCTCCAACATACATATGCACGACACAGTAAAACTTAATATCTGTCCATTTAAATGATGCCACATCTGCACCCTACACCTTGCTCTAAAAACTATTTTAATGACCAAGTTCCTAGCCTTAAAGGATGAGGGGACAGTATCTCCATAAAAGATGAAGAGAAGGCATCTATCACTGCCTTTGACCACTTGTTACTTGGGTTATATAAGTCAGCTTAACTTTGTTTTCCTCACATCTGCTGGGGGTGTCAATCAGTATTGCAATTGCAATTGTCAAACACAAACTTTTCCAACTGTTTGGAAAACCAGACAAAAAGCAGTTCACTCCACCAACTCCAACTGTGCTTGCCAGTGACGACAGAAGGAACTGTGCCACAAATTCAGATTAACTGAGGCTAATATCTGGGAACCACTTTGAGAAACATTCCCATGGTTTACAGAAACCATAAAACTAACCAAGACAAAGAAGCTGATTGGTAATGCCAAGATCAGAAGTTATATAAATCCCCATGTGACTCCATCAGCTGAACACTAGCTCCAGATTTCACTTTCAGGGCTGCTCTCGAGAGGCTAGATGCCAACTCAGTAACAGCTGTGCAGTAGCGAACAGGAGAGAGCAACTTGGGAAAGGCTAGATCCGACCTCAAGAGCCTGACAAGAGCCTTCAGCTAAAATCAGCCAAGTACCTCTTGTTAAATCACAGTGCTTTAGAATGTTTTCTACTCTTTTGCAAATACTATACACAGAGGAAAAGTCAATAAAGAAGAACTGGAGAGAAGACATCAAACAGCAAAACTTACTCCTTCAACAATCAGTCAGAAGTGTGGAGAAGAGGCCTGGGCTTCTGAATCATGACCCTTCAAAGGGACACCAAGTGGACCCTGAACCCCAGGGGGGGTTACTACATCAGTGCTTTTAAAGACTTCTATCATTAACAATAGAGGGCACATTTTCCACACCATCCATTAGCTACTTTAAAAATTAACTAGATTCTTGGGCATTAAAAAAAAAAATCACAAAACTGTAAGCTTCTTGATGACAGAAGCCACATACAACAACTTTGAATCCCCTACATTTACTGAAATCCTTGGAAAATAGTAACCCCAAAATGTTGCTAAATGAAAGAACAATTTAAAAAAGTATTATACCTTAATTTCTACATATCTATGCAAAATTTATCAACTATCTACAAATATTTTCTAATGTCCAGAATATTATCCTTCAATCTGCCACCTGCTTAATAATCATAACAAAAAGAAATTTTACAATTATGAGCATATTTGCAACATTTCAATTTACATATTTTAACTCATTCCCTCAGTTAACAAACTTTGTATCATTCCAACATGGAGTATATAAAAACGTATTTTAACACCTGAGATTCAATGACACGCCAACTCCCACCGAACAGATACTTTAGATATAAACTCTTGCATATTTCATAGGCTTTGTATGTAAAAGATTTCATAAAGATATGAAATGCCAAAATTTGCTAGTAGCCAAAAGCACATTCTGGGAAATATTATGAATTCAGTCTAGACACAGCCAAAGGGTTGATAAAGGAGTAGTGGGGGATGATAGAGGAAGATTCGAGGGTTCCTTTCCAAGGTTCCAGCCACTTCTTATGATTCCATGACCTTGTTATCTAAGAATTTGTGTCTGTAGGAGAAAAGGTGCAATGGCATGGGAGAGACTTGATTCTTGCTGAAGAATAAAGGATTTATTCTTTGGTCAAGTTACTTCAGGACATAATAATCTAATAATCAAGGAAAACACATACTCCATGCGAGTTCCCTGAGGTTGGTTAAACAGTATTTCATGTATATGTCTCTTGCTCTGACCAGTAGACCCAATATCTTAAAGGTCCTCAAAAATTTGACCCTTGACTAATTTCAAGACATTGTCAGCTGGGTGCAGTGGCTCACACCTGTAATCCCAGCACTTTGGGAGGCCAAGGTGGATGGGTAGCTCAAGACAACAAGTTCAAGACCAGCCTGGGCAACATGGCAAAACCCCATCTCTATAAAAAAAAAAATACAAAAATTAGCCAGGCATGGTGGTGTGCCCCTGTCATCGCAGCTGGGTGTGGTGGCGCATGCCTGTAATCCCAGCTACTCAGGAGGCTGAGGCAGGAGAATCCCTTGAACCCAGGAGGAAGAGATTGCAGTGAGCTGAGATCGCACCACTGCACCCCAGCCTGGGTGACAGAGCAAGACTCCATTTCAAAATAACAATAAGACTACCAAGCTGGGAATAGCAAAACTAATAGCCATTACTCTTGACTGACATGCATATGCTAAGTTCTAGCCATGTAACATGCACAAAAATGGAGTAAACATTCATCAGAATTCACTCAAGAAAAACAGAGTATAAAAAGTCACCTAAAAAGGGTCCATCAAGAACTAATATAAAATTGCTGGATAAGATCAAGAAGAAAAAAAAAGCTATCCACCTAAAATGATCATCCACATCATAAATGTCTCCTCTCCCCAAAATAACACAAAGTTTTGTTCAACTGATGTAGCTGAGCTTGTGCAAGGAGAAACTGCAAGAAGGAAAAAGCAATCTATGATCTTCTAAAAACAGCCTAAATTCCAATTTAGCAATGTGTTTCTTGCAGTATAAACACCTTTTTAGGCATAAAAATGAATGGAAACACAGATACTTACCAAACACTAATTTACAGCATTCGTTGGAACATAGGAATTATCTCAGGGTATTTTCTCTTAACACAGGTGCCCTGCCTAAGTGAAGGTGGTGTTTCTTCAATCTTCACACTCTTTTTCTGTAAGCTTCCTGGTTTTCTCCTTCTATATCCTATCGTTCTGTGCAAAGCTGATAAAAATATCATTTATGCATAGCTTACTGCTAACATCCCGTGGGTGATGCAGTCAACAAAAATGACTTCCATGTTGAAACACATTCAAGCATAATTTCCTATCATTCCAGCATTCAAAATCTTTCTGTCCTCTTGAGTGAGGAAAAACTCAAACTTGATTTTCCCTCTGCTCTGATACCACACAAATCATTAACACAGAAGACTTCTGTGACCAAATATGTGAGGGTTTCTCCCCACACACCAGGCAAGCAATCAGTTCTGCAGCAGACACCAGCTGGTTGTCCTCCTATTCAATTCTAATGCTATTTACCTGCAGATGGCCTCAGATTCCCCGGTTAAGGGCTCAGTCTCCCAAGACTGCCCCCTACTTCTCACTGGTAACCAGTCCAGACGTAGGGCCTTGGGAACTTCTAACAGGCTAGCTTCAAGTTGCGAGGATCTGGAGCATGACCCTCTCCTTGGGTTTGATTAATTTGCTAGAGTGGCTCACGAAACTCAGAGAAACACCTACTTATATTTACTGGTTTATTGTAAAAGATATTGCAAAGGATACAGATAAAGAGATGCATAGGGTAAGGTATGAGGGAAGGTACAAGGAGGTACCATCTGATACTCAGGTATGTCACCCTTTAGAAACTTCCACTCCCCCATGTTCAGCCATACAGAAACTGTCTGAACCTTGTCCTTTTGGGTTTTTATGGAGGCTTCCTTACGTTGGCATGATTGAATAAACCATTGGAAATGAGTGATCAACTTAACCTTCAGACCCTCTCCCCCTCCCCGGGGTGTTGGGGGTGGGGCTGAAAATCTCAACCCTCTTTTCCTGCCTGGGTCCTTTAGGTGACCAGAAGTAATTCTGAAGCTACCTAGGTTCTGCAAGCCATCAATCAGTTCATTAGCATACAAAAGACATCACTTTGGAGATTCTAAGGATTTTAGGAGTTATGTACCAGAAAAAGAGATTGAACACCAAGTATGTATTTTACAGTATCACTCCTCTGTTCACATTTTCTCAAGTAGAATAAGGAAGTTGCTACCTAAAATTAATTCACTAGAAAAACGCTAAAGAATACTGGGTCAGTAGTGGGAAGACCTCATCTTATTTGCCACCTACACATTACAGCAATTGTCCACAGAAGTCTCAGAGATGCTAAGTGGTGGTTTGTCTATCACCACCTTCATTCATGGCAAAGAAGAGATATCCATGCTGCCTCCTTTGAAGAAGCAATGTGGAACAAGATGCGGTGGGAGTAGGGAAGTGGAAAAGGCTTGCTACTTGCTTAGGCCATGACCACAGTGTTATAAACTTAAGCCCCCTACCAGCCACTGAGTCCCAGACTGCCTGGCTGGGGATTCCTCTAAATCCACATGCAATTCTCCTCATCAGAGAACATGATAAACCATGTTCTATGTTCATAATCCTGTTCTGTTTTACAGAGAGATTTACAGAAAGTTTTAGCCTCAAGGGGTGCTGATGTGGGTAAAACAAAATCCAAGCAAGGCTTGACATTTATTTTAATAAGCCATGTCTACCCTCTACTGCTAATGCTGGGCTCTCCATCATAGCCCCATATACATCTAGCAAACAAGAGCTAAAAGATGGGTGCAGTAGTGTGCGCCTGTAGTTCCAGCTATTTGGGAGGCAGAGGCAGGAGGATCGCTTAAGCCCAGGAATTCAAGACCAGTCTGGGCAACATGGCAAGACTCTATCTCTATTCAGAAAAAAAAAAAGAAAGAAAGAAAGAAAGAAAAAAAGACACTATCTCTATTTAAAAAAAGAAAGAATGAAAAGAACTAAATGTGTTGAGGAAGTTCTAAAAAGCATTCATTTCACCCCCACTTCCTCCCCTCACTCTCATTCAGCAAGGCATTTAACTGGCTTAAAAAATAAGTGGGGAAAAACAGACACACGAAAATGACAGATATAGTTATTTGATATTCCTTGATATACAACCACTTAGAAACAAAACAATTCAATCGGCTACAGAAACAAATCTCATAATCCTCACTCCATGCTAAAATCATGCTTTTCTTAAGATTATCAAAGATTTAACTTGTGCACAGGAAAAAGCGACCATACTCCAAATTACAAGTAGGCATAATTTGAGGAGTATCCTTTTTTTTTTTTTTGAGACGAGTCTCTCTCTATCACCCAGGCTGGAATGCAGTGGCACGATCTCAGCTCACTGCAAGCCCCACCTCCTAGATTCAAACAATTCTCCTGTCTTAGCTTCCTGAGTAGCTGGGATTACAGGCATGTGCCACCACGCCTGTCTAGTTTTTGTACTTTTAGTAGAGGGGTTTTTAGACGGGTTTTTGCCATGTTGGCCAGGCTGGTCTTGAACTCCTGACCTCAGGTGATACATACGTC
The DNA here is from genome assembly GCF_000001405.40 of Homo sapiens. Classification (NCBI taxonomy): domain Eukaryota; kingdom Metazoa; phylum Chordata; class Mammalia; order Primates; family Hominidae; genus Homo; species Homo sapiens. Next base: position 237,230,686 of record NC_000001.11, on the reverse strand, counting down.
AAGGCCTCCCAAAGTGCTAGGATTACAGGCGTGAGCCGCAATACCCAGCCAGGAGTATCATTTTAAAAATAAAAACATTCCCAGTATACAACTGACTTCTATTAAGACAACTATCAGGGGAAGGGCTAAGTCTGCATTTGGTAAAAAGATAACCTAGTTTCTTGAAAAACAGAATACTACAAAAGCTGTCTCTACTTTCAATGTCAATTCCTTACAATTATCTTGATTTGAAAAAAAAATGTAGTATAATTTTGAGAGATCTGATTATTCATTTCAAGTGATTGTTAGGTATTGCTTTGTCTGTTTTCCAGGAAGTGATTTGATAACAAATCTAGACCTATAATAGTGGCATATAAAGGTGAAGCTTAATGCAGCATTCTCTTCTAAGCAAATAAAATAGCATTAGGGATAATATTGGTAACATTTATTTTTAAAGAAATTGAATCTGTCATTACAGTTACATTTCCCCTCTCTTTGCCTATCTGAGCAACAATTTTGGTTTTCTTTTGTTAGTTGGTTGTTTTTAATTCTGTCCTTCCAGTATAAATACAAGACAGTTGCTTTTATGATTAATTCTAGTTATTTTTCTTAGGGTAACGTACTATTTCCACATTTTATCCACCTTTAAAATGGAAAACACATATGAGGACACCAAAGAAATAATCTAGATTGCATTGTGGAAGCAAATGGCAAAGCTCTATATAAAAAAAGGGGGGGCTATCTTCTTAGCCTAACGTTATATATGAGCACACACAGATGATGCTGAGAGGGAAATCTCTCCAACCCCAACAAGGTCATCAGGTGCTGGAGTCAGAGTGGACGCAGGGTTGGTGGGAGATCTTATGTTTAGAACCCATGGAGATGCAGTGTCCTTGAGCTTACAGTAAGGGCACGATATACTTCAGTTTAAAGCCCTCTGGTTTTTATTCTGTTGTGTTTTGATCAAGAAAAAATAAACACCTGTCAGCATGTGAATCCTGAGAAGTATGCTAACTGGCACCAATGCCACCTTCCCCACCCCCGCAGCCACTTTAGGCCTGGTGTGTGGAGCATCAGGATGGCAATGAACTCAATGTCCCAACAGGAACTCGGGGATGTTTACAGCCTTCCAGCTTTCCCCATTATAGGGTCACTTCCGGGTCACCAACCAATGAATTCAATGTACCAACAGGAACTCTGGGATGTTTACAGCCTTCCAACTTTCCCCATCATAGGATCACTTCCGGGTCACCAGAAGCTGTGCTGGGGCAGCAGGAAACCAGCCTTTGGGCACAGACCTTTAACCGACGTCCTTCATTCAAGTAATATTAAAGGACAAGTCTCATTGGTGCAAACATAATGAAACCCAAAAGGTGAAAAACTATAATACTAACAGCAAACCACCCATCCCCACCATGCATAAAAGGCCACAAAGTGCTACATTTCTCCTGTAGAATACTTTCTTTTTTTCATGAGTTAATATAGGCATTTAAGTATTTTTCCAGGTTTATCCCCTCAACCAGAATGAAATCAGGTAAGCAAAGCACTGCCCACCCTCTCTCCTTTCCTGGAGAAGATGCGATGCTACAGCTGGTCCACAGGGCTAGGTCTGCAGTCTCTCCCCATTTAGTGTGAGACCACGGGAAAGGAGCTCCACCACAGGCCTCAGCTTCCACATCTGTAAAATGGTCCCTACCTCCTGGAGTGAAATGAAGCAATGATAGGGGATACTTCCCACAGTTCTTGGTGCATCATAGGTGCACAATGTTAGCTGTCACTATTTTTCTTCCTATTTTTTTTCACATCACCCAAAGCTTCTAGGTCAAGCTACACACAAACAAGCATTCAAAAACCATGAAAAGGAAGAGAATTTGGCAATGGGCATCTGATAACACTTAATTTACATTTTGAACAGTGCAGGTTCTTACTCTTTTTTTTTCCCTTATGAGGAAGGTTTTTATTATTCCATGTTACAGATGAGAAAGCAAGGCACAGAAAGGTTAAATCGCTTGCTCAAGGTCATACAGAAGGAAGCTGCAGAGATTCAAACTCAGGTGGTCTAACCTCAGAGTTCATGTTCTTAATCAGCATGCTATGTTGTTTATCACATGTACAGCAAATCTTTAGTGTTGTGCATAGGTTCTTGGAAACTGCGACCTTAAGGGAAAGGACCTACAAGGAAACCAGTTTTACCACAGGCTGATTGATAGAAACAAGAGTTAAGTTCCCAGAGGAAAAGAAGGCATTATACGAAAAAGATACTTGCACATGCATGTTAATAGCAGCACAATTCAAAATTGCAAAAATGTGGAACCAGCCCAAAAGCCCATCAATCAAAGAATGGATAAAGAAACTGTGAGATATATATATGATGGAATACATCTCAGCCATTAAAAGGAATGAATTAATGGCATTTGCAGCAACCTGGATGGAACTGGAGACTATTATTCTAAGTGAAGTAACTCAGGAATAAAAAAGCAAACATCGTATGTTCTCACCCACAAGTGGGAGCTAAGCTATGAGGATGCAAAGGGATAAGAATGACACAATGGACTTTGGGGACTTGTGGGGAAAGGGTGGGAAGAGGGTGAGGGATAGAAGACTACAAATTGGGTTCAGTGTATGTTGCTCGGGTGATGGGTGTACCAAAATCTCACAAGTCACCACTAAAGATCTTATTCATGTAACCAAATACCACATGTTCCCCAAAAACCTATGGAAATCAAAAATAAAAAAAAAAAGGCAAAAACAAGAGTTAAGTTCTTACAGCACATTTCTGATCCAAAAACACCACCAAGCTTCTAAATAAAGACCAAAACACTTCTGCTACTCAACATCAAAATAAATGTGAGCTACACATTTATTTAAGAAAGATTAATAAAAAAGTAAGATAATTATCCACTTATTCCAGTGCAGGGTTGCAAGTGGCTGGATTCCATCCCAGCAGCTCAGGGTGTCAGGCAAGAACCCGCCCTGGGCAGGCCGCCGTCCCATCACAGGGCACGCTCACACCCACATCCACACTCACACTGCAAACAGGTGGACATGCCAGTGAATGCCATGTGCACAGCTTTGGGCTGAGAGGAAACTGGAGTACCCAGAGAAAACCCATGCAGACATGAGGTGAACATGCAAACTCCACCCAGACACTAGCCCTGGCCAAGAATCCATTTCATTTTTTTCTCATAGATGTTATGATGAAACAGTTTTGAACAAAACTTACTTTATTTGACACATCAGCAAACTGAATCTACCCCTCCTCCTATTTTTGTAAATAAATTTTTATCAAAACACAGCCACGCCCATCCCTGTAGCATAGACTACGGCTGCTTTCACGACAAAGACATACTTCACAAATAAAAACTGTGCAACATGATACTTCCATCTATGTACACATTGTGAAATTAAGGCAAGCTAATTAGCATAGTCATAACCTCTCATAATCAACCTTTTTTTTGTGGTGGGGACATATAAAACCTACTCTCTTAGCAATTTTTAAGTATATAATAATTATTAACTAGAGTCACCATGCTGTATAATAGGAACTCATTCCTCCCGTCTAACTAAAGCTTTGTGCCCTCTGACCAACATTTTTCGATCTCTATGCATAACTGTCATTATACACTATGTGACAGGCTGGGCACAGGGGCTCAACGTCTATAATCCCAGCACTTTGGGAGGCTTTGCAAAGCAGGCAGATGGCTTTAGCCCAAGAGTTTGAGACCAGCCTGGCCAACATGGTGAAACCAGATCTCTACTAAAAATACAAAAATTAGCCAGGTGTAGTGGTGCACACCTGTAACCCCAGCTGCTTGGGAGGCTAAGGCTGGAGAATCGCTTGAACCCGGGAGGCGGAGGTTGCAGTGAGCCGAGAGCACGCCACTACACTCCACCCTGGGTGACAGAGTGAGACTGTCTCAAAACAAACAAATAAACCAAAAAAACCACTATGTGACACATATGTCTTCCCTACTCCATTCTAAAATGACACCTCTAGAAATTGAAATCTGGCCTCCTACACTGTCAGCGCTTTTAAGTACCACAGATTTCACCACCAATCACTTCCTCTCTATGCCAACTAGCAGTCCAGTGTGACCCATGCTTAAATGGCCTTAGAATCAGGAATAAGGACTCTGATGATGTACTAAGCTATCTCTCGGAAGTGTCTCTCCAAGTACTGCTTTCTGAGCTCTCTAAATTGGTTTGAGATCTGAGGTGTTTTTCTGAATAAACAGACTTGCTACTCATATCATGTAACATTCTCAGAGACAACAATGCCTTCTAGAACACAATAATTGGCCACACTGTCAGTAACAAAAACATGTACGCCACGCCACTGACAAGTTAAGGGGGAGAAAAGCACTTCAAAGACATGGAAAGGAAACACAACTACCTTGGTCCAGAGGAATGCATTTTTAAATTCCAGCAATCAGTGAGAGGCGAAATACGCAGCAATTTCGCATGAACTCAGGAGAGGAATCCAACTATATTTCTAACAACATGCAATTTTCCCACTGAGCCATAAAACCGTTCCTGAACATCATTAACCCTTCCGTTCCCTGTTCTAACAGAAATGTGAACTTTTCACTAGATTCCAGACTTAACACATAATGCTAATGTTACAGGGGACACCTTTAATTTTTTTTTTTTTTTGAGATGGAGTCTCATTCTGTCACCCAGGCTGGAGTGCAGTGGCACAATCTCTGCTCACTGCAACCTCCACCTCCCCAGTTCAAGCGATTCTTCTGCCTCAGCCTCCTGAGTAGCTAGGATTATAGGCATGTGCCACCACACCCAGCTAATTTTTGTATTTCTAGTAGAGACAGGGTTTCACCATATTGGCCAGGCTGGTCTCAAACTCCTGATCTCATGATCAGCCTGCCTTGGCCTCCCAAAGTGCTGGAATTACAGGCATGAGCCACCGTGCTCTGCCTACAGGGGATCCCTTTTAACACTCTTCTGGTGTCCAGTAAGAAGAATTCCCTCTAGTCCCACCCACTCCATGGCTCTTTCTGTCCCATTCACTCCCTTTACCCCCAGGAGATGGCTTAACTTAGCTGATTGGTAAACCTAGAAATAGGTGGTGATAGGGTCTGGCTGTGTCTCCACCCAACTTTCATCTTGAATTGTAGCTCCCATAATTCTCACATGTTGTGGGAGGGACCCACATAACTGAATCATGGGGGAGGTTTCCCCCATACTGTTCTCATGGTAGCGAGTAAGTCTCACAAGATCTGAAGGTTTTATAAGGCGAAATCCCTTTCACTTCACCCTCATTCTCTCTTGTCTGCCGCCATGTAAGACGTGCCTTTCGCCCTCTGCCATGTGGAATTTGAGTCCATTAAACCTCCTTTTCTTTATAAATTACCCAGTCTTGGGCATCTCTTTATGAGCAGCGCGAAAACGGACGAATACAGGTGGGCATCCTCAACTTTCTTCCTCTTGGGGACAGTTCCCAAGAACAAGCTCTCTGTCGGTAATAAATTTGATATTTTAATCTTATATCTGCCTTCCTCTTTTATTTCCCAAGTTCTTCAGAACCCAGGTAAGAAAATGGATGTTGTTCACCTGGCCTACTCAGACTTCAAAACACTGATGCCACTTGAAAGAATTCAACCAAAATTGAGCTCTCATAGTTATGCAACAGAAAACAAACCTTCTGAAATGATCAGAACCTTGGGAAACACAGCATAGTGGTTAAAAGCAAAAAAATCTGAAATAAGAAAGTAATGTTCAAATCCCTCTCTGCCAACTATAAACTGTGGGCAAATTTCGTAACCTTCCTGGGCCTCAGTTTCCTCACCTGTAAAGTGGGGATGAAAATAGTAACTTATAATTTTTTTTGTAAATGACAAAGTCTTGCTCTGTCACCCAGACTGGAGTTCAATGGCACAATCATGGTTCACTGCAGCCTCCAACTCCTGGGCTCAAGTGATCTTCCCACTTTAGCCCCTCTAGTAGCTAGGACTATAGGTGTGTATCACCACACCTAACTTTTTTTTAAAATGTTTTTATAAAGATGGAATCTCACTATGTTGCACAGGCTGGTCTTGATCTATTGGTCTCAAGCAATCCTCCTGCCTCGGCCTCCCACAGTACTGAGATTATAGGTATGAGCCACTGTGCCCAGCCTGTAAGTCATAATTATTAACATATGTAAAGACTCTAGAACAGTACCTGGACATTATAAGCTAAATAAATGTTAGCTATTACTAATAGCTATTACCATTACTAATAGAGTTGACCTTTGAACGACATGGGGGTTGGGGCATAGACCCCCTGCACAGTCAAAAATCTGCATATAACTTTTGACTTTTCAAAACCTTAACTAAAAATAACCTACTGTTGCCTGGAAACCTTGCCAACTAAACAGTTGGTATAACATAAACAGTTGATTAACACATAAATAGACTAAGATCTACATATATTTTATGCACTCATGATATACCATCCTTATTTTTTCTTGATACTTCTAGACTATGCAGTTCATCTATGAGTTTTTTTTCAAATTGTCATAAATCCCCAAAAAGGTTTCCAATATATTCATTGAAAAAATTCCACGTATAAGTAGACCCAAGGAGTTCAAACATACGTTACTCAAGGGTTCAACTGTATTACCATTTCTCTTGTTATTAATACTATTATCTTGTCCCACAAGATGCTTTGCAAAAAGGAAATCATCCATGATGAGTTAGATTCCATTCTCTAAATTCACATCTACAGTAGAACCCTAAGAATAATGAACTAACAATAATTTCAAAATTGTAGGAAAATGACTCACATTTGTCTATTGTGGGCACTGTCACCTGAAAAAGTTTTGCCTTACAGACCAGAAGGAGAAAATTCTGGAAGTGCACTCCTTTGACACACATATTTTAGAAGTGCTTTGTGTTTCTATTTTTGTTTTTCATGTCAATAATTACTCAGACCTGCTCTTCAAATTTCTGATATGTAAACTGCCCGATAGACTGGTCGGACAAACCTGTGGTGTGGCCATATAATTTCTAGTTGACAGAAGAGAAGTCACACATCCTTTGCCCAGAGTTTTTATGGCCCAGGACTAGTGAGTTCTCTCCCTCTATTACATAACCTTAAAAAAAGAAGAAGAAAGAAAATTTTGTCATGTGACTCACAAGATTACATTTTAATTGACCAAATCTGCCTACAGTAAAAATACCAACTACAGGAATAAAGTTAGGTTGTCAGAGATCTTTGTCATAAGCAACCAAAATTGATTTAATGCCTTAATTTAATGCTATGGTTTAAATGTATCCTCTCCAAAATTCATGTATTTTACAATGTGATGGTATTAAAAGGTGAGGCCTTTAAGAGGAAATCAGCCATGAGTGTTCTTCCCTCATGAATGGAATTAAGGCTCTTGTAAAAGAGGCTTCATGTCTCTTGCCCACCTTTAGCCATGCGAGGACACAGCAAGAAGACCCTAACCAGATGCCAGTACCTTGATCCTGGACATCTCAGCCTTGAGAACTATGATAAATAAATATATGTTCTTTCCATTTGGTATTCTGTCATAACATCAGAAAATGGAATAAGACAGTATTACAAAGTAACACAAGTGCCTGCTCACCTATCACAGAACAATACAGCGGTTGTTTTGTTGTTGTTTTGTTTTGTTTTGAGACGGAGTTTCACTCTTGTTGCCCAGGCTGGAGTGCAATGGCATGATCTTGGCTCACCGCAACCTCCGCCTCCTGGGTTCAAGCGATTCTCCTGCATTAGCCTCCTGCGTGCGTAGCTGGGATTACAAGCATGTGCCACCATGCCGGGATAATTTTGTATTTTTAGTAGAGACAGGGTTTCTCTATGTTGGTCAGGCTGGTCTTGAACTTCTGACCTCAGGTAATCCTCCCACATCAGCCTCCCAAAGTGCTGAGATTACAGGCATAAGCCACCGCGCCCAGCCAATACAGAATATTTAAAACAGTAATATGAAGAAGAAACATAAATTTGGGGTTAGAAAATGCCGGTACTACTGGACTACTAGTAGGAAATTTCCCCCAATCTAAAATCCTAGCTTTTGTCTATGTTGCAGGTATCGTCAAAACCTTAAATAAAGACTGAAAACCTCAAGACAGACAGACATTTCTTTCCAGCGTACTATCAAAAATATAGGGAAAAAGGGGTTAGCAACACTAATAACATAAGATTCTGGCTGGTCAAATAGGAGAGGTTTGGAGTATGTTTGAAGAGCCATAACATTAAGAACGTGTCTCTCTAACCCATTTAATATGCACCAACAAGTCCACTGGCCCCAAGCTTCCTTTTTTTTTTTTTGAGATGGAGTCTCAATCTGTGGCCCAGGCTGGAGTTCAGTGGTGCGATATTGGCTCACTGCAAGCTCCGCCTCCCAGGTTCACGCCATTCTCCTGCCTCAGCCTCCCGAGGAGCTGGGACTACAGGCGCCTGCCACCACGCCCAGCTAATTTTTTGTATTTTAGTAGAGATGGGGTTTCACCGTGTTAGCCAGTATGGTCTCGATCTCCTGACCTCGTGATCCGCCCACCTCAGCCTCCCAAAGTGCTGGGATTACAGGTGTGAGCCACCGCGCCTGGCCCAAGCTTCTATTTTGATACATTCTGAAAGAGAAGATATCACACAAATGCAATATTCCCAGGATAAAAACATGTGCACACGTCCCCATGGAACACTAGCTCCTCCTCTTCATAGGACCTGCCAACGGTTATTCACAAACCTCCCACATCATCAGCTGTAGAGAAAGCTGTTCCTTAAATTTCACATATTTCTGTCTTAAAAAAAAATAGGACATAGTCACTAGCCATTCAGTTGAAAGACTATGATGTCATTTACAAAAATGGAAAATGCCAACACAGCCTTCCCTAGGGCCAGGCTGAAAGGTCCAGCTTGACCCTCTGACATGGAAAAGAAATCTGTGTTGACCACCACCCAGAATATACTACCTCAGTGAGCCCTTGATAAAGAGGTAAAACCATGTCCCTTCTTACTAAATAGAATACAAGCACTCTAAACAAAGAACTAGGTATGAACCTAGCTACTAACTTGACTTCCGAATTTAGCTAATAAAGGAAATGGTGAAACAATTTTTCTTCTTGAAAAATTTGCAGTACATGTGACTAACTCAAATACAGGTGTTATTAGCACAATGTTTGAGATGTCCTGAAATTTCCCCGTGTTTTCATATCCCTCTCTTTTTAAAATAAATCTTTCCCAATAATCTTCATATCTATAAAGTTTACTGTGTTCGAAATGTCATGCTTGTGACCAAAACACAGTTAAATAAATCATTATTTCTAATATAAACGACTTTCTTCAGAAAATCACTCCTCTGCTTACACATTTCATAAGTTAAAGCATCCAGCTGACCTTTAAACAGCTTGATGTCTTAAACAAGTGGAAGTGAGGTTTAGCTGTTTCAGTGTTTCATCTAATCAATGTTTTCCATGCAAGTCTTTTACTGACTAGAATATCAATAAATTAACATATTCCAGGAACGAAATGGATTTTCAAAAATATAAACATATGAGATACTTTGGCTACAAACTTATAAGACAAGCAGACCTATCCCCAATTTGTTGTTGTTGTTGTTGTTGTTTTGTTTTGGGGGGTTTTTTTGAGACAGAATCTCACTCTGTCACCCAGGCTGGAGTGCAGTGGCGCGATCTCGGCTCACTGCAAACTCCACCTCCAGGGTTCAAGCCATTCTCCTGCCTCAGCCTCCCGAGTAGCTGGGATTACGGGCACCCACCACCACGCCCAGCTACATTTTTTTATTACTATTTTTAGTACAGATGGGGTTTCACCATGTTGGCCAGGCTGGTTTCAAATTCCTGACCTCAAGTGATCTGCCCACCTCAGCTTCCCAGTATTTATTAATGAAAGAGGCAGGTAGACTTTGACATACTGGACTCCTTCGAAACAGCAAGAATATTTTCTAATTCTGAGGGGTTTTCTCCCAACCAGTACTTCCTGAAAATAATATGTATTTGACATTGTTACAGGCATTTCCTCAACTGTAAAATAATCTACTCTGAAAAGGTTTTGTGAGGATCAGAGATGATGCATGCAAGATGGATAATACAGAGTGAAACGTAGGTGTATCAGTCAGGTGTCTCCCGAGAAACAGAAACTATACGGTATATATGGAGGGGGATGACTGGGAGGAATTGGCTCACAGGACCACAGAAGCAGAGAAGTCCTACGACAGGCTGACTGCAAGCTAGAGAATCAGAGAAGCTGCTAACATGGCTCAAAGCCAGTAGCATAGCTCAGTGTAAATCTGGCAGCCTCAGAAGCAAGGCAGCCAACAGCACACCACCGGTCAGGCCTGAGAGCCCCCAGGAGGCCACTGGTAAAAGTCCCGGAGTCCAAAAGCCAAAGAAACCGGACTGGGATGTCCAAAGGCCGGAGGAGAAAAAGTGACCTGCTCAGAAGGGAGACAGAAAGCAGAGAGAGTGAATTCCCTTTCATCTGCCTATTTGTCCCAGCTGGGCTTCCAGCCAGGCAGATGGTGCCCACCATGCACATTGAGAGTCCTCTGACTCTCACGTCAATCTCTTCTGGAAACACCCTCACAGACACACCCAGAAACAATGCTTCACCAGCCATCCAGGCATCTGTCAATCCAGTCAAGCTGACACCTAAAACTGGCCATCAGAGTAGCTGTTCAGTAATCAACACATAACCAATCAAACATACTATACACCAAGTAATCACAGCTAAAAGTACTTGCATGCACATGACAGGTATGTGCTGAACGTCATTCCTGGCACAGCGCCTGCCACATGATAGGTTCTCAAAAGACAGTTGTCAAGTAAATGAAAAGGGGAGATTCCAAAACTGCTTTAAATTGCACAGCTTTAAGTAACTAAGCCTAAGCAGGGGCCAGGCTGTGGTACCTGGTTTCACACTTCTTCAAATTTATGGTAATCTCTTGTTCTGATGCTGGATTTCAGTAGCTATCTCATTAGACAACTATGTTAGGAAAGTGTTATCATCTCCACTTATCCAGGAGGAAATTAAGTCTTCGAGATTATATCCTTTCCCTCCTTCTTCCTTTCTAGCAGGATCTCAGGTTTGTGCAGTACTCATTCCTCCCCAACACAGCCACGTGCCCCAAGGGAAGCTATCACACCCTGATTTGTAGAGGTTATTTTTACTTTGTTAGTAATTATTTCAGGAACAGGCATTTGACCAAACTCTGGTTAATAAGACTTAAGTAGACGTCTCCGGGGGCAAGAGGGTTCTGGAAAAATGCTCCTCTCCTCTAAGAAAGAGCCACAAGAAGAAATGGAGCCATAATGTCCTCCAGACATTGACACGTCGGAATGGGATATGTGAAAGTCCTGCAGCCGTCCTATGATGAGTGAATGGACGGATTAACATAAAGTATAGGCCGGGTGCAGTGGCTCATGCCTGTAATCACAGCACTTTGGGAGGCCAAGGCAGGTGGATCACTTGAGGTCAGGAGTTCGAGACCAGCCTGGCCAACATGGTGAAACCCCATCTCTACTAAAAATACAAAGAAAAAAATTAGCTGGGCGGGGTGGCACAGGCCTGTAATCCCAGCTATTCGAGAGGCTGAGGCAGGAGAATCACTTGAACCCAGGAAGCAGAGGTGTGGTGAGCCGAGATTGCACCACTGCACTCCAGCCTGGGTGACAGAGTGAGACGCCAGCTAAAAAAAAAAAAAAAAAAAAATCAAGTATAAGGAAAGCAGAAAGATGGATCACGTGGGTCAGCCGCTACCTCTTGACTGGCTCCACGTCTGGACTTATGATGATAAATTGCTTTTGGGATGAGGCATTTGGAAATGGAAATAAGCATCTCTTACTTACAGCCAAAAGCATCCCAACTGATGTACCACCCAATATCCAGGCTAAGGTCTCTCTGACTCCCCAGCTTGTTCTTTTGATTACCATATTCAACTGGACCTTGACTGTATGAGGGGAGCCCAACCCTAAACCAGAGGTGAAAAGAAAGCACTGGCTTTGTGATAACTCCCCTCTGGATCCTGAGTACAAATAATGTAGTCCCCCATACCCCAGCATTTGACTTCAAGACTCAAATGCCAAATTCCCCATGGTGAACCTTCTCCTATACGAGGCTAGATTTCACTAAAGTTGAAAGAAATTTTTTTGAGGAGCAAAAAATTATATTAAAAGCCTTGATGGCAAAGTATGCCAGAAAGAAAGCAAGCTGAAAACCTATAGCATCTTGGGTCAGTTGTCCAACCTCTCCTAGCCTGCATTTCCTCAACCATAAAATACCTATTTTGAGAAGCTAAAGTCAGGCCAGATATAATGCATACACGTCCTATAATCAGTGTGGTGCACAGTAGGTGTTCAATGATTAATACACAATAATCCCAGTTCACAGTATTCCTCAATCCATCTACAATGGCACTAGAAAAGAAGCTATGCACATCGAGATATATGAGTGGTTTCATATTAATCCTGTGATCATAATCAATAATTCACAATTTTCATTCAGTAAGGATTCCTCCTAATTTATCCACCATCAAAATGAAAAATAACCCTTAATAATCTATAATCTTGTTTATTTTTCCAGAAATGACAGAAAATTATTAAACTTTATTGATGTTTCCTGAATGGAAGGGCAAAGATGAAAAATGAATGTGCAACCGAAAAGCATCCAACTGACTTTTAAATAGCTTAGAAATGTTAATAGAACAGCCACCCCTGCATATCAAGGTACAGATTTTATAAGCCACAAAGTTATTAGTCACTAAATGATTTTAAATGCTGCTATTAATCCCCTTGTCTCCATTAACTATTATTTCACATTCTGAATACCACAGCAGTAAGCCCTTCGAGCAAAACAAATACAGCAAAGCTTGCGTCTGCAAATCACAAATCCTAAGTACAAGTCTCTGCTCTTTCTTGGGGCATACTCAGGGTGCATCCCACAGAACCTGAGGTCTCTTCTGGTGGGCACAGAGTAAAGCGAGTCAGCAGTCATCACTACTATCTAATCACAGGACACAAACACAACTACTTCACACTGTGCCTACTCAGTACCTTGGAACTCATACACGTATTATCACCACCACCGCTGACATGTACTGAGTTCTTACCATGTACCAGACACTGCTTGGATACTCTGCCGTCCTATGAACTTGGTGCTATTATTATTCCCATTTGACAGAGAAGGAAACGAAGGCACAGAAAAGAAGTCTGGGGTCACACAGCTGTTATGCGATGTGCAGTCAAGATTCAAAGTCAGGCAAACTGACATTTTTAGCCACCACCTAAAGCACTTTGGTAACAACTAGCTGATATCCAAAAGTAAAATTTCCCAAATATTCCTATGGTCACTTTAGGTACATGCACAGTGTTTAAAAATTACCAAAAAAAAAAAAAGTGTTTTAATTCCTAACCTCAAGAAGGTGCATAGATCAACAAGTCAGGCACGTAGACTACCTATAGCCTGAGTCATCGAGCAGGGAAAGGTTACATTATAATAATGCAATGATGTTACAATATAATAAATACTCCATGTCAGAGGCTACTTCTCTACCCATGATACTCAGTGTCCTACCAGTCGAGGTCCCCATCAGAAAAGCCTCCCCAGAAAAGCCACCCTTCCTTGGGCAAGGATACAAATAGTCTAATCCCAATTAACCAATTTTGTAGGAGCCCTTCCAATTTGTAAGAACCCTGCTTCTTATTCGGGACTAAATACTGTAATGTCCAGCCACAGAAATTTCAGGTACCCTGGAGGAGCTGGAGTGATCTGGGGAAGAGTCCTTCACTTTGGTAAATATTTATTGAATAGCCACTATGCACAAAGCACTGGGCCACTATTCATTCAGCATGTGCTACTCAGACCCTAACTTAAATGCTTCAAATTGCAATACCTATATAGTATATTGAACACATTATAGGGGTTTTTCTTGCTTTTTTTTGTTTTGTTTTGTTTTTTGTTTTTTTTTTTTTGGTGGGGGGTGTTTTAAGAAAAGGAGTCTTACCGTGTCGCCCAAGCTGGAGTGCAATAGTACGATCTCGCTCACTGCAACCTCCACCTCCTGGGTTCAAGCCATTCTCCTGCCTCAGCCTTCTAAGTAGCTGGGATTACAGGTGCCCACCATGCCCGGCTAATTTTTTTGTATTTTTAGTAGAGACAGGGTTTCACCATGTTGGCCAGGCTCCTCTCAAACTCCTGACATCAGGTGCTCCGCCTGCCTCAGCCTCTCAAAGTGCTGGGATTACAGGCATGAGCCACCGCTCCTAGCCCATATTATACTTTTTAAAAGATAAAATCAATTGAACATTCAACTTAAGGCTTGGAATCCTCACTTTTCTAAGATTTAATAAAATTCATGATAGCCTAGTGATTTTTTAAAAAATCATAGATAATTTTGTTTTCAAACTCAATATTCAAGGGTGAATACTGAATTCAATATAACTATTGAAACACAGACATAGGTTGAAAAGACTGAATTCATAGAGATGCAGATGTAATATTGAACCTAAACTTTCATCTATGAACCTGAAAATTCTTCAAAAATTAGAATTAAAGTTAAGTTGAAGGTCCTAATATATGATTTTACTAGATTAATATTTTTCATTCCATATGTTGTTACAGGAGTTATATAGAGGATGCTATAATGCATTATTTCCTTAGTTAAATATCGTTAATTTATGTTTACCTAAAGTTGCAAATATTGACTTAATAACTAGAACAAACTGAAGTGTAAATACTACTGGCGTGAAATGACATTGTGAGAGCTCCATATTAATTGGTTAAAATGTGTAACCTAACAAAACCTTAGTAACGTAATTACTAGAATGTAGTAAAAAATATTTGGAGGACTTTCCACAACCTGTAAAGTTCAGTCCCTAGGCTTACTAAAATATGAATCCATTAAAATGTGAAACTTTGGAGGGGAATTTTGTAAACAGTATTGATCCCCCAAACTATTTATCATGAATTTATAGAGAAGCTTTTTCATTATCATGGAAAGTACCTACCATATCCCAAAAACGGAGCAAAATTTTACATATATCATCCTATATAATTCCTAAGTTTACAAGACTAGGAAACCTTTTTCTGCTGGTCTTCAAAACCCAGTCTGCTTTCTCTCTTTATTTGTATATGAAAACAACACAAGTATTTTGATAAGTTTAAAATGCTTACTATAGCACCAAAATACCTGCTTAGAAGCAAAAATATAGAGAAAAAAATATGAAATAATAAAAGGAAATATGAAGTCAAATATGCTTTTTAAAATACTTCATATGATTCCAGGAGTTCCAGCACAGGTAAATAAAAAGTAAGAATCCTCATTTACAACATCTTAATCCACTGGATTCCTGAAACTGTGGATAGTACTGAACCCTGTATATAGTGTTTTTTTCCTATATGCCTGGAGCGTTGCCACATAATCCCAGAGTTAATCTCTCCTTTCATGTTTTATGTATTCCTTGAGAATAAAGGACGGGACTACTGTATCTCACTCAGATCCTGCCAATGCTACATA
The DNA here is from genome assembly GCF_000001405.40 of Homo sapiens. Classification (NCBI taxonomy): domain Eukaryota; kingdom Metazoa; phylum Chordata; class Mammalia; order Primates; family Hominidae; genus Homo; species Homo sapiens. The sequence continues at coordinate 237,215,208 of NC_000001.11, read as the reverse complement.
TTTTCCTCCTGGAATGTTTTTCAAATGATTCTGGGAAAAAAACAAATTTCAAGGTTGCTTTACCCTGGGATTCCTGGCTCAATTCTTAGGCCAAAGGAAGATATACTACATGACAGAATTAAGTTGCCAGTTCTTATCCACAGAACAGAATGAATTTAAACCATAAAGATCCTCACCTTCTCCGAGTTGACTTCATGTGATATGAGAAACACATTCCATGGGTCATTTCCTTTCTCCTGCTCAATACCATAATCCCTTGCAAAATTACTAGTCCATTTCAAACTCCTAGATATATACGTGCTCCAGGATGCCTTTGCTATGAGAATACAATCTAATTCCAAGTACATTTCTCACATCAATTTTGCAAATATATTCAATGAATGTTGTATTTTATTCTTAAAGTTCATAAGGAAGAATACATTCATGAAAAGGCAAAGGAAATATTATAAAGAGAAATGGATTGAGTGAAACTACCCTTGCTACACATTAAAATGAAATCTAAAGTTATGGTAATTAAATGCATATGAAATATATATGATATAGTTAGGATATTTGTTACCTCCAAAGCTCATGTTGAAATGTGATCCCCAATGTCAGAGGTGGAACCCGGTAGGAAGTGTTTGGAACATAGGGGCAGAGCTCTCATGAATACCTTGCAGTAATGAGTGAGTTCTCACTGGATTCATTCCTGTGAGAGCTGACTGTTAAAGAGCCTGGGACCTCCTCCTCATTTCCTTCCTCTCTCCATGTGATGCCTGCTCTGGTCCTCTATGCCCTTCTGCAATGAGTAGAATCTTCCTGAGTCCCTGACCAGAGACAAATGCTGGTGTCATGCCCCTTGTACAGCCTACAGAACCATGAGCCAAATATATCTCTTTTCATTAGAAATTACCCAACCTCAGTTAGTCCTTTATAGAAACACAAATGGACTAAGACAATATACTAATGAAAAATGCAGCTACATTCAATAAGATAATAAGTTGATTAGGGCCAGACACAATGGCTCATGCCTGTAATCCCAGCACTTTGGAAGGCCTAGGTGGGTGGATCATTTGAGGTCAGGAGTTCAAGACCAGCCTGGCCAACATGGTGAAACCCCATCTCTACTAAAAATACAAAAATTATCTAGGAGTGATGGTGCATGCATGTAGTCCCAGCTACCTGGGAGACTGAGGCACGAGGATCGCTTAAACCTGGGAGGCAGAGGTTGTTGTGAGCTGAGATCACACCACTGCACTCCAGCCTGGGTGACAGCTCAAGACTCTGTCTAAAAAAAAAAAAAAAAAAAAAAAAGAAAAAGAAAAAAAAAGATAATAAATGGGTTGGGACAATTAGCTAACAACTTGGGGAAAAAAAAATTAAAGCTCTCCCTATCCTTTGCCAGAATAAATTTCAGATAGGTTAAAGATTTAAGTCCTAACAGTGGGAAAAATATGAAATAATTTAATAAAATATAGATCAGATGAGATAAACATATATGACTACATAAAAATGTAAAAGCACCACACTATAAACCTCGTGGAAAGTAAATTACAAACTAAGAAAAGCAATTGTACTTAATTCACTAAGGGTAAATAATCTTATCTTATAAACAGCTGTTATATATTGAGAAGAGGCGCTCCCATTAGAAAAGCAGGCAAATAATGTATTAAGTAGGAAACTCACAAAAGAAGAAATACACTCAACCATGGAGAAAGTTCAGCCTCACTACTAAAATACAAAACAAAAAAAGGCCAGACGCAATGGCTCACACCTGTAATCCCAGCACTTTGTGAGGCCAAAGTAGGACGATCACTTGAGCTCAGGAGTTTGAGACAAATCTAAGCAACAGAGGGAGATCGCATTTATACAAAAAATTCAAAAATTAGCTGGGTGTGGTGGTGCATGCTGGTAATCCCAGCTACTTGGGAGGCTGAGGCAGGAGGATCACTTGAGCCCAGGAGGTTGATGCTACAGTGAGTTGTGATTGCACCACTGCACTCCAGCCTGGATGACAGAGCGAGACTCTGTGTCAAAAAAAAATATTTAAAAACCTAAAAAATAAGCCAAACTGCAAAAATAGGTTTTGGGGTTTTTTGCTTTTTTTAAAAAAACTACTGGAATGGCAAGTAAAAATGGTTAATAATAATAACCAATCAGCCGGTCGTGGTGGCTCACGCCTGTAATCCCAGCACTTTGAGAGACCAAGGTGGGTGGATCACCTGAGGTCAGGAATTTGAGACCAGCCTGGACAACATGGTGAAACCCTGTCTCTACTAAAAATACAAAAATTAGCCAGGCGTGGTGGTGGGTGCCTGTAATCCCAGCTACTCCAGAGGCTGAGGCAGAATTGCTTGAACCTGGGAGGCGGAGGTTGCAGTGAGTCGAGATCACGCTACTGCACTCCAGCCTGGGTGACAGAGCAAGACTTCGTCTCAAATAATAATAATAATAATAACCAATCATGGTTAACACGCAGGAAAATGAGCATTATTTTCCATGTGTTGGAATGCATATTAGTACATTAGTATTATTACTTTTTTGGCAAAATGTTTCCAAATACTTTAAAATGTGCATGCCTTTTAATTTAACAATATTGTTTCTACGTTTCCTTTTCATTTTGTAACAAAAGGGGTCTTGCTCTGTCGTCAGGCTGGAGTACACTGGTGCAATCATACCATCCTGCAGCCTCCAACACCTGGGCTCAATTGATCCTCCCGCAGCAGCCTCCAAAGTAGCTGGAGCCACCAAGCCCAGTAGGAATTTTTGTTAAAAAAAGAATTCAACAAGTTCTCAAAGACACATGTATAAGGATATTCTATGTATTATTATTTACAATAGTGAAATACTGGGAACAACTTAAATGTTCATTAATAGAGGGATGAATATTACAGAACACCATGAAGCCGTTAAAAATGTTGGTGGGCAACTGGATTTGCTAATATCCAGAACACATGTCCACAACGTAGTTTTAAATGAGAAAAGATTAATAAATATAGGATTGAGAAAATAAGCATGGGGGTAATTATGTCTAGATGATAGGATTAAGGGTGAACCTAATATTTTCTGTATTATTTCTAGTATGTTCTGAACTTTTTCCAAAGAACTTTCTTTGTAAACAACAAAACAAAATATGCAGCAAAAAAAAAAAGTCAAAAACAAGAGAGATGTCTGCAATTTAATGCTTAGCCATCTGCCAAGGAGATTATAACACTATCATAAAATTTCCAAGTATCTTTGCTGTTCTGTGCACATCTGACTTCAAATATTTTAACTTCTCTCATCTAATTAACTTCATTTGTTTCAATAATTATTTTTATTGTATGTCCCACCATAAAGGTGACACCTCCCTCGAGTAGGTATCCTACTTATCAACCATCCTCAGGAGTAAATAAATCATGCTGTCTGGAGTGACATTAAGGGGAGTGGCTCACTAGGAACGATCCTTACACACCACAATTATTCAATACACATTGAAAGCACTTTGGCATTCAGGGAAATCAAGTGTGGCATTCTTGATATTTCTTTAAACTGGGGCAATCATGGTTCAGAGAACTGTCAAATGGATAAATGATAAAGCAAAGCATAAATCCATTGCAATGAAATTTCCTTCTGGAAAGTAGATGATTCAGTGGTTTGTTTTAAAAATTGGTGCAATGGTAGGAAATGTCCTAGACTAAATAGAGGAAAAGCTCTGTTCTCATCCCAGCTGTACCACGTACTAGCTGGGAAAACTCCAGCAAGCCTGTCTATCTAAACCTTCATTTCCTCACCTGAAAGAATATTAACTCTGAAAAAAATCAGAAGATTGTTCAGAGTACAAATGCAAAATTATCATGCTAACAAAGATATCTTGTAAAGAGCATAACAAATGCCTACACATCTTAGCCTCTGTACCATCACTGCAGAGCACATTGATAACTTGTACACATATAGTCAAATCTAAATACTGGCACAGTCTATGACAAGCTTCCTGAGTCAGTGCCATGGAATGGGGCTGTACTTGAAAAGAGCCACGGTGAGCTTTGTACTCTGTGATGCTGTCAAACATGTAAGGTTTAAAGTTTCTGTGCCCTATCTCACCAAAGATAAAATGCATCCGCGTCCGTGTCACCATATAGTAATGCCATCCAATAACCTAAGCGGTATCCAGGGCACAGGCTGAGATTGAACATGGTACTGAATTAGGCCACTATCCCAGCAGCCCAAACATCGTCCCTGACAAATCTGTGTGAGACGTCTCTGCGGCAGTGACAGCTAACTCGCTAAGCTCCATTTGCCATCCCACATTTTCCAACAGAAATATCCATGACAACACATAAAAGCTTCAAAGGTAAACCAGCTGAAGATGTAAAATACCAATTAAGTAGGTATCAATCCCTGAGGAATCACCCTGAACTTTGGCCTGGATGGTCCTAGTGCTGCCTTCCCTAGGAATCTAAGCCTACCTGTGGTCCCCGGTGCCTGCTTTCCAAGATAGTGGGATAAGTTCCCACCCCCACAACACACAGCACCCAGCCAGCATCAGAGCTTCTTTGCAGAGATTGTCACAAGACCAACACACGGCACCCAGTGATGCAAACTATGAGAAAAAACAAAGACCAGGGAGTCTATGGGCCTTGGGTTATAGGACCAGCATATAATGGAATGGCAGAGACAGAAAAAACAGGAGCATCCCCTCACAAGAGAAGCAAGAGAAAACCCTGACTCAGTCCAACATCCACCCCAGAGCCATGCATGAGAGATACAAGAAATGAGACATCCAAAATTGGCCAGGGATTGCTATATTAATTTGACCTCCAGATCCAAGGAGAGATTTCAGGAGTACTCAAGAAAAAAAACAGACCTTTGTTAAAGACAGGCTCTTTTTATTCAAAAATGGATACATGGGGTAAAATAGCATCTAAGACAAGGAGACAAGATTCTCTAATATGAAATAGTCCCAAAATTATCGGAAGAGAAATGTACTATAACTGAATTAGAATTCAGCCATGTTAAAAATTTTTTTAAAAAAGAGTTTATTGATATAAAAATGCTAATGATATAAAAAGTTTAAAAATACATTTATTACATGAGCAGGATGATTCCAAATTTATTTTTAAAAATAAAAGAACAATATATGCAGATACACAGAAAAATGAATGGAATAAAATATGTGAAATATCAACAGCAATTTATCTCTGGGTGGCATAATTGCAAGTAGCTTTTATTTTCTTCTGTCTGTATTGTTGTGTTCTCCAAATTTTCTACATGTTATATTTCTCATTAAAAATATCACAAAGATTTAAAACATAGAAAGAGATGCACAACCTCTCTAAAATCCTGAACATGTATTAGGGCTGTCACACTTGGCTCTCTGGCTTTTTCTTTTTTTGAGACAAGATCTTGCTCTGTCACCTAGGCTGGAGTGCAGTGGCACAATCATAGGTCACTACAGCCTCAAATACCCAGGCTCAAGTGATCCTCCCAACTCAGCCTCCCAAGTAGCTGAAACTATAGGCATGCATCACCACACCTGGCTAATTTTTAAAAAATTTTTTGTAGAGACAGGGTCTGGCTATATTGCCCAGCCTGGTCTCCAACTCCTGAACTCAAGTGATCCGCCTGCCTCAGCCTCCCAATGTGCTGGGATTACAGGCAGAAGCCACTGTGCCCAGCCCTCTCTGGCATTTTCAAATCACTTGGACTCACACTTCCCAAAGAAAAAAAAAAAATACACACACACACACACATATATGCAGATTTTACACTGTACCATAACTATAGTATCAGAATAAGGCTTTAATATATGTAAATAAGACATATATATCTATATGTCATATGCAATTTGTAAAGACCTGTTATATCATTTATCTGTTAATGGATAAATGGATAGAGCAAATGTGATGTAGCTAGATACAGATATATCTAAATATATGTATATTTTATGCTTTTATTTTCAAAACTGAATTTGGAATCATCTTGTTCATATAATGCATGTCTTTTTTAAACTTTATATATCATTAGCACTTCTATATGCATAAACTCTTTCTAAAATATTTTTCATATGGCTGAATCATAGTTCAATTACAGTACATTTATATATATAAATATGTATCCTGTTACACATATATAATCATTATGTGTGCTGTAACACATGTATACCTATATTTTTATATATAAGTGTTACATACATATGTTATATTAATATTAAACTTTTTAAAAAATTTTCACATGGCTGAATCATAGTTCAATTACAGTATACATATATATATATATATATATATATATATATATATATATATATATATATACACACACACATTTGGTTGTACAGATGAGAGAGAGTAGTAGGGTAGTTACCAGGGGTCATAGCGAGGGGAAATACAAAGATGTTGGTCAAAGGGTATAAACTTAAAGTTATAAAACAAATAAGTTCTGGAGACCTAATGTACAGTAGGGTGGGTCCCTGTAGTTAATAACACTGTATTGGACACTTGAAATTTGCTAAGAGAGTAGAACTGACGTGTTTCCATCACACACACAGAAAAAAGGTAACTCTGTGAGGTCATAAATACGTTCATTAGCTTGGTTTTGGTCGTCATTTCACAATGTACGTGTATATCAAAACATCACATTGTATACGTTGAATATATATAATTTTTGACAATTATGCCACCATAAAGCAGAAATAAAACTTTTAAGATGATGACATTTTGAAAATCAGGTCCATCCAACCAAATGTTACATAAGACATCCCAAGAAGCATATACTGCTCAGCACTTCTAGTTCAACAGCTATATTACTCAAGCATTCTTCAAAGGAAATCACATGGAACATCTTATTTTATGTAATGTAGACTATAGAATGCTTCAGCAGAGGAAAACACACACATAAACCCACACAGAAGGCAATCACTCAGCAGCCCACATTAGCCTGATGTCTTGAACACTCAAAATCATCCCTATTGTCAAGAAATCCTAGAATCAGCAAACTCCATGAGGATAGCACCTGTTTTTGTCTCTGGCTCAATGGTTACCAGCGATAACTTCAAAATGATCAGCTATGCAACATATATCTTAATTCATTCAGACGAAAACAATTACAAAATGCATGCATATGGTGTGCCGGTGCTGGCTGCAACAGAGCAAACGTGCCCTTGTGTATGAACTATTACCACAACTCCCGCTGGTCAACCAACATCAGTTCATCCTGGGAGGTACAGTGGGTGAAAGCTGTGTGGGCCTCACCTGGAACAAATCTGAATCCTTATACTCTTTTCAGCACCTAATACTCTCCAGCTAGTTTCAAAGACCCCACCTAAGGTGAAAAACAAGAAAAGATTAATATGCTCTCAGGTTGATACAAACGTAATTGCAGTTTTTACAATTAAAAGTAATTGCAAAAACCACAGTTACGTTTGCACCAACCTAATACTATTGTTTTGCAGTTATGTGCCAGGCTGAAAAGGATGAAAATTGTTTTAGAGGATAGCTATTCTACTAGTGGTGTCTCAGTCCATTTTGCTAAAATAAAATACCTGAGACAGGGTAATTTATATAGAACAGAAATTTATTTTTTCACAGCTCTGGAGGCTGGGAATTCCAAGATCAAGGAGCCGGCATCCGGTGAGGGCTTCTTACTGCATGGTCTCAAGGCAGAAGGGCAAAAGAAGATGAAGGCTGCATGAAGCCTCCTGCTCTGTCGCCCAGGCTGGAGTGTGATGGCATGATCTCAGCTCACTGCAACCTCCGCCTCCTCGGTTCAAGCAATTCTCCTGCCTCAGCCTCCTAAGTAACTGGGATTACAGGTGCCCACCACCATGCCCAGCTAATTTTTGTATTTTTAATAGAGACAGGGTTTCACCACATTGGCCAGGCTGGTCTCAAACTCCTGCCCTCAAGTGATCCATCCACCTCCACCTCTCAAAGTGCTGGGATTATAGGCGTGAGCCGCCGTGCCTGGCCATGAAGACTTTTTTTTAAAGGCCTTCATCCCATTCATAAGGCAGGAGCTCTCATCACCTAATTACCTCTTAAAGGCCCTACCTCTTAATACTATCGCATTGGCAACCCCTGAATTATTTTTTAATTTTTTTTTTTTTTTGGTAGAGACAGGTTTTCACTGTTGTCCAGGCTGGTCTCAAACTCCTGGGCTCAAGAGATCTGGCCTCCCAATGTGCTGGGATTACGGGCATGAAACACTGCACCCAGCCAAGCATCACCTGAATTTTAGAGGAAACACATTCAAACCACAGCAAGTGAATAAATAGATTTTGTTCTATAGCCCGTTATGAATATTTTGAAAGGACAGTTCTCATAGGAATTTAGGTAAACTAACCTAAAATATTCCACAAAAACTACTTTTCCTGTAACAGCTGGTCCCATGGAACTCATTATCAGTAGTCTTTTCAATGTTAGGCTTCTTCCATAAAAATGCAATGGCCGGGATAGTGTCCAATAGTAGATTGGTGAATGCCCGAATGAGGATTTTCTGAATAAACAAACTAATTTGCAGTATTCAATAGCCACAGAATGGACACAAACTAAATAGTTCACAATAGGGAATTAAGTTCATAAATTAAAGCATATCTACATGACACAATATTATTTAACATTTAAATTATGAGATAAATATAATAGTATGACACAATGCCAAGTGTATCTGTAAACATATAAATAAGTCTTTTAGTATTATATGTATAGGGATGTAATTTGACACAAATGCAAATAGAAGTACTTGAATTATTATGGAGAAACAAGTGTGAAAAACTTTCTTTTTTACATCCAACAATCTTTATTGGTAAAACAGTATCTTACACTCCTAACGCTATCTATCCAACTTCACTAAGAACAATTTCAGTTTCAATTAATAAATGGTACCTAAAGTAACAAGAGATAAAAGTGTTTTCGAGGGAGCAGCTCAGGCTCATGTTCGGCCGAGTTTCAGGGTATTCAGGACCTGGCTGCAGGGAAAATGGAATCAAACAGGTAGATGCTCTGGACCCAAGCCCTCAGGTGATGACTCACCTCCCTCCTGGGGGTCCTAGTGGCTCACGGTCCCCCTGGTACTTCCAGGCCCTGCAGACTGTGGCTGGAGCCCTAGGAGCCAAAGCACTGTCCAGAAAGGCTGGAACTTGGCCTCCCAGTGAGCCGGCTTCTGCCTCTTGAAGTCATATTCTTCCCGGAGCTCCTGGAGCACCCGCTTGGTGGACCCGGTGGCCATCCACACTTCCTGAGCCATTTCCTCGTGGAAGAGGATCTCCCGCTGGAACTTCTCCAATTTCTAGACCAGGTCTTGTGCAATCTTCTTGAGCCAGTCGCGGGTCTGACTCACGGCTTCCAGTTGTCCTGCATCTTGCCAAGCCTCCGGTCCAGGTCCAGACAGTAGGCGTCCTCCTCCATGCACTCCTGCTGAGGCCCCATCACGGCTCTCTGCCCAGTGCAGGAAGAGTGGGGGCCTCAGCTGCAGCTGCAGGACCTCCGTCTCCAGCCGTGCCCTTGCCCCCTGCAGAGAGGCCTGCTCCCTGAGCACAGATTGGATTTGGGCTCTCACTTTTTAACTCCTTTGGATTTCTTTGGAGTAAAGAAATTGTTTCTTCTGGGGCAATCCAGGACTGGCCTCAGGCATAGGTGATGTGAGGCCACCACCAGCCTGGGTGCCAGCCCCATCCTGCCTCTGACCTTTCTGTGGCCCTCACCCTGGACCAAATTCTGCTGGGCCAGCTCTTCCCTCCTTCTGATTGCACATAGTCTCTTGGCCACAAACGCCACCATGGCACTGCAGGCTCGGATCCCCCATGGCATCCATATGTTTGCAAGCACCTGTCCCAGGATGCTGTAAACAGCTTGTACGGCTGCCCACAGCTGGACCAGCAGCTGCTGAGAGAGCATTTCGTGGCAGGCAGCAAGCCCTCCATGGCTCCCAAGGGCTCTACAGCTCTGCCTCCCCTTGCCAGTCACCTGTGGGCCACAACTCAGCACTCGGAACCCTGTGGTGTATTCCAACCCTGTCACAAACAAGGGCCCACCAACCAGCGTAGCCCATTTGCTAGGCTTGGGGGAGAGGGTGCAGCCTGTGTTCTAGAAAACCATGTCCTTGATTTTGCTGTGCAAATAGAGGCTAACGTTACTTATGCAGTGCCTTGGGGGAGCTCATGTCAGCCCCTAGCTCAGGCCACTCCAGGCCCCACCTGGCCCTACTGCACAGCTAGCCGGTCAAAGCAGGACCATGCCACAGCCCTGTGTCCTCTCAGGGCAGTGGGGAGGCCCGTCCCTGCTGAGGCTCATTACCCTGATTTAGTTTCCTTCTGCTGTAGGGAAGCCTGGTCCTGCCTGCAAAGAATCTGCCTCCCTTGCTGGATTGAGCTCCTTGAAGAAGGGACTCTGTTTTCTCCATCACCACATCCCTACAGCTCACCAATGCCCAGCATATGCCAGGGGCTCAGTCGTTGACTGTCTGGTTTTCTTGTTGAATCTCCTCTGACTTAGGACATGTCATTTGCCCCTCCTGACCTCCATATTCAGATCTGTACATAAGAGTAAGTAGGTAAAGACTCCTCTAGCTTTAAAACCCCGCCAATATAAAGTGAAGTCTGAAACCAGAACCAGAGCTAAGGAATGCGGAATGGAGCATTTTCCCAGGCGTGATGGATGAGAGCTACTGACATGGCTGTTAGGGTGGGACCCCGTCACCTGAATGCATTTGCAGGATTCGACCCTAGTTTTCTTTCTTTTTTTTTTTTTTTGTTTTTGTTTTTGTTTTGGTAACAAGAACATTCATAACAGCTTTATTCATGACAGTCAAAAAACAACAACAACAGTATCAGCAATAGGAAAATAAATTCTAGTATATTCAAAAATAGAACACTACTCAACAATAAAGGGACAGAGGATATGGGAATCAAAAGTAGAGGGATAACTACTGATATAACAAAGACATGGGCCAGGCGTGGTGGCTCACGCCTGTAATCCCAGCACTTTGGGAAGCCAAGGCGGGTGGATCACCTGAGGTTAGGTGTTCGAGATCAGCCTGACCAACATGGTAAACCCTGTCTCTACAAAAAATACAAAATTAGCCAGGCGTGGTGGCACACATCTGTAGTCCCAGCTACTCGGGAGGCTGAGGCAGGAGAATCACTTGAACCCAGGAGGAGAAGGTTGCAGTGCGTCATGATTGCGCCACTGTACTCCAGCCTGGGCAACAGAGCAAGACTCCATCTCAAAAACAAAACAAAACAATGACATGAATGGGTTCTCAGAAATAGTAACTTCAATGAAAGAAGCCAGACACAAACGAGCCCACACTGTATTATTTCATTTATGTGAAGTCGAAGAACAAGGAAAACTAATCTATGGTGAGAGGAATCTGAACAGTGTAGTCCATGGAGGTGGAGACTGCACGGAATAGGGCAAGAGGAAACGTTCTAGGAGGATGGAGATATTCTTGATTAGGAGCTTGGTAACATGTGTGTATACATTTCTCAAAAATCATCAAATTGTCCATTTAATATATGTATATTTTCCTTTGTGTAAATTTTCCCTCAATAAAAAAAAAATTTTTACTACAGTTTTAATGAAGCTTAGAAAGTAAATGAAATTCAATGAATAAATTCAAACCACCTATTTACCTGGAGGTCAAGTTTTTGCTAACTTTTTACCATTGTAAGTAACACTGCTATGAATATCCATTGGGGCAAATAATTGTATAGATTATTGGTTAAATTCCCAAAGTAGAATTTTATTTATTAAAGATTTCATTTAGTTTGACTTTTGAGACATATTGTAAAACTTTCTTCCCAAAATAATGATCCAATATATACTCTTACCTACAATGTATGAAAATACTCATTTCCTCTACTTAGCCAACATCAGATATTGTCATTTTATAAACATTTAAGAATAATATACACTAAACAGCAATAATAACAACAATTTCTAAAACTCACACAATTACTATACCCTAGGAACTATTCTAAGTAACCTACCTGTATTAACACCCATTTAATACACAAAACAACCTGATAACATGTGACCCTAGTTTTCAAATCAGACTCAAGAATGATCTTTAGTGTTGGTGGGTGGGTGGGGTGTGTGTGGTGGTGGTGATGGTGGTTTTTTCACAACAGCTTCTGGAAATCTTTTTCACAGGGAGTATGGAGGCTTCTTTGTCCAAACTGGGTGGGTTCAGGCTCCATCCGCTTAGAAGCTGCTGTCTGGGCCACAGCATGTCTGGGCCTCTGCCTCCCCTGCCTCCAAGAATGGCAAACAGGTTATCTTTTCAAGAAAATGTTATTATGTTACTTTAGAAAGTTGTTTCTATGGTGACTATGTTGTTTGGAAGGGCTGAGCATTCACAATGTTGCGTTGCTGGTTCCAATTGTCCTTTCCCTCCTTTCCATCCCTTCCACCACACAGCAAAGAGATCAGAGCCCAGAGGAAACGGCTGAGGAAGAAGCATGCTCAGAAGATGCAGATGCCATCTTCAGAATGCTGGAACGAAAACTGTTCAGAACAAGATTTCCATTAAAAAGGTGTTGTTAAAGGACGGACCCGGTGGCTCACACCTGTAATCCCAGCACTTTGGAAGGCCGATGTGGGTTGATCACTTGAGGCCAGGAGTTCAAGACCAGCCTAGCCAACATAGCAAAACCACGTCTCTACTAAAATTATAAAAATTAGCTGGGTGCAGTGATGCATGCCTGTAATCCCAGCTACTCAAGAGGCTGAGGCAGGAGACTCAATTGAAGCCAGGAGGTGGAGGTTGCAGTGAGCTGAGATAGTGCCACTGCACTCCAGCCTAGGCAACAGAGCGAGACCCTGACTGAAAAAAAAAATGTTGTTTAAAGGAAAGTACAGGTATAATTTGTAAAAGACATGCACTGAGGGAAATTGAGATTTTGCTAAGTGACCATCAAATCTATTCCCAATGTTCAAGTGCTCAGACTCAAAAAGAGGTAGAAAAAGAGACTGCAATAAGAAATGAATGACAAAGAAATGGGAGACTATCATCAGACACAAAAATATATTCATAGGCATATCAGGCACACATGCCTACCTTGAGGGAAATGTTAATGCAAATTGTATAAGTAAATATCATATTTTAATGGTGTTAGGATAAAACTACTTTTTTGTGTACAATAAAATTCATAGTAACAAATAGCATCTTTTGAATCCTACATTAAGGTTTCTGTCTACCCCAGCCCTATTTCTCCCATTTCTCTACGAACATTTTATCTTGCACTCATATTTATCTAGAGCTGCCTTTCTCTTCTCTGAGGAAATCCATCCAAATTGAGATAGGCCTTTGTTGATTCATCTGGCAAGTAATTCAGTGTATCAGTAGATATGATAAAATAACTCAGATAGAACCAAATGGTGCCTATCAAACAAATCCTGAATATACGTCACCTTCCAGTCCATCTCCAACAGATAATGGGAGCCCACAATGGGACTGTCATCAGCCTTCCCGACAAGAGTCCAATGCCAGAGTCATCAGAGAGCCACAGGAGGAGTGAGGCCTCAGCAGCCCTGGGAGCCCCTCATCCAGTGAAAATTCCACCCAGAAAGTGGTGTCTTTTTTTCAACCTCAGTAATGATGATAATGACGATGATAAAAGGAGGTGGGGAGGATGCTAATGCCAGTTTGTGTAATGGGCTTCCCTAAATTACTCTAAGCACTGAAACTAGGGGCCAATAATTAATTTCATATCTAATACATCAAGTTTTTAGAAGAAAAGCATCCTACCCATGTCTGCCTGCAATTTCCCTGGAATGGCCAGAAAAACACAAATGAGATTTCACAGCAAGACTCACAAAGCTATTTCAGTCTGGACTCACACGTGTGCATCTCATCTGATGTTACAAATCAACATATCTGTCCAGAACTATTAGGGAAAAACAAAAGCAGATAGCCGTCGAGATCAAGTTCTTCCAGTAAAACAAGACCTTGAATAATAGTGAGGGCAGTGCCAGGACCTCAATGTGACACTAATAGACTTTAGAAGTTAACAGGTATCAGGTGACGTTGATTTCTTCATTCAGTTACTGAGGAAGCTAATGACAGACACAGGTCAAACATGTCTTGGTCTAGTCATTGTCAATTCTTGGCTAAATGAGGCTTATTTTAAAATCAGAACTCAAGAAAAGGATACTTTGATGTTTCTTATCATTACCCTTACTGTCTTTCCAAAACTGTCATCCTGTGCCATAGGCACAGCAGAAGGAATAGAAGTAATGAGATTTGGGAACCCTACATTGATTACTCTTATGTGACTGACACACTGATGGAGTCAGTTTCCTGAATGATTGATATCCCAGCTCCATCACTATACTGGATGAGACTCCTAAGCAAACAACTGAGAGAATCACAACTAAAGTAGATAGTCACAGAACACATAACTTTAGCAATCGATGGAAAATTTGAGGTTCCTTTAAACCAAATTCAAAGAAATATGCACTCAAAATTATACTACAGTTATAGAAAACGTACTATGCTGTTTTCTGTGGTTTCTGTCTCTTATTTGGCCAGAGAAGAAAGAGGGGTATCAACCCAAAGTATCAATTTGCTCACCATTATTAAAAATATGCCCGAGAATGGCAAAAGTAATCCCCCCAGAATCTGCAGTTTTCCTACTTATTTTCTGATTCGTATCTACTTTTACTTCATTCATTAAAGAATGGAATGGGGCCAGGTGCAGTGGCTCACGCCTATAATCCCAGCACGTTGGAGGGCCAAGGTGGGCAGATCACTTGAGACCAGGAGTTCAAGACCAGCCTGGCAAATATGGTGCAACACCGTCTCTACTAAAAATACAAAAGTTAGCCAGGCATGGTGGTGGGCGCCTGTAATCCCAGCTACTCGGGAGGCTGAGGCAGGAGAATCACTTGAACCTGGGAGGCGGAGGCTGCAGTGAATGAAGATCATGCTCACTGCACTCCAACCCGGGCAACAGAGTGAGACTCTACCTAAAAAAAAAAAGAATGGAATGGTTGGGGCAGTTAAAGGATAAAATTGCAAACAGATGGTAAACAATAAAACTGAGGCTATTAAAAATAAAGAGGCAGCATAGCCTGGTGAAGGTAGACTGGCAGAATTCAAATCCTAGCTCCTCCACATATTGGGTATGTGATTTTGGGTAAATTACTTAACCTGTCTGGTTTCCTTATGTTTAAAAGAGTGATGATAGTAACAGACCTATCTCATACAGTTCCTAAGACAGGTGACATGAGCTATCACTTGTAAAGAACTTAGTACAGGTATACAGCAAGTACTACAGAAATATTATAATAAACAAAACTCGGCTAATTAACGAACATTTCTGATGTAAATTCAAATTGGCACAATTTGGAATTTATTTAATATCAGTGTAGATAACATATCATTTAATTTTTAGTAGAAAACATTAATATTCAGGCTTTTCCATGCATATGAGATGATGTTTTCAGATATAAAATTAGTTTTCATAGATCCACAGTTGAAAGAATCCTGAGAATTTATGCAACCATATGCTGTTTTATATTGCTGATTTTTCACCAATGAATGTGTGATGGTTAGTATTGAGTGTCAACTTGATAGGACTGAAGGATGCAAAGTATTGTTGCTCCTGGGTGTGCCTATGAGGGTGCTGGCAAAGAAGATTAACACTGAGTCAGTGGACTGGGAGAGGCCGACCCATCCTCAATCCGGGTGGGCACCAGCTAATAAGCTGCCAGCACAGCCAGAATAAAAGCAGGCAGAAAAAGGCTGAAAGACAAGACTTGCTGAGTCTCCTGGCCCCCATCTTTCTCCCGTGCTGGATGCTTCCTGCCCTCAAACATCAGACTCCAAGTTCTTCAGCTTTGGGACTCTTGGATTTACACCAGTGCTTTGCCAGGGGCTCTTGGGCCTTCGGCCACAGACTGAAGGCTGCACTGCTGGCTTCACTACTTTTGAGGCTTTGGGACTTGGACGGGCTTCCTTGTTCCTCAGCTTGCAGATGGCCTATTGTGGGACCTCACCTTGTGATCGTATGAGTCAGCACTCGTTACTAAATTCCCCTTCATATATACATCTATCCTGTTAGTTCTGTCCCTACAGAGAACTCTGACTAATACAGAATGTCGCACCTCTATCCTGATAGCAAAATTTCCTTGAAGGCAAAAACCATATCTCACTTTTGTTTCACACACTCTGCAGGACCCCGGCAAGGAACCACCTTTGAAGTTTGCATTTATCAAATTGATCATAACCGGATTAACCAGACAATAATTTTCATGGCATTGACCTGAATTTAATTAAGTTTGTTAAATTCTTGGTGCAAATGAAGAAAACCTAACCAAAGTGGTTAGCCTATAATTTTTCAAGTTGTTGAAAATCTTTCTTAATTCACGCATGGACTATTACTTCTCCAGAAAATAAAAAAAAAAAAGATAAGAAAATATATATGTCTAAAACCTTTTTCTTCCACAGTGATTTTCTGAATCCTTTGCAAGTTTTCCAAGGCCCTAAAAATTGTGGATTTCAAAATAAAGTCTAGATCCTCATTAGATTCTGACCTTTGCTGAATCCAATGGGAAGATTATTTATTTACCACTTACTATAGTCTCTCTAAGAGCAGTCAAGTTCATGCCAAATTGCCAGGAATAAATAATTCCCCAGGCTGAAAATCTATTTCTTCACATTTTTCAACATTTCTCAGAGTGAAAAACTATTTGAGGAAACAAAGATTTTCTCCTTTAGCATTTCTCCTAAATGCTAAAGAGGTACAAACTAGCATACGATAAGGAATTCAAAGGAAAATACTTCCATACCAAAAAAAAAAAAAAAAAAATCAAGGAAACACTATATTCAAACATACTTAAAAAGATTACTAAAAATCTAATCGCTATAAAATGCAAGGATTTTATAACACCGCACACCACAATTCATGAAAATGACGCATAGTTCAGATAGCAATACATTTGTATAACTGCTCAACACTTTAGTAGACTCAACACATAAACTAAATAGTCCTGCAGTAATAAAACTGTATTTATCACAGCTGAGAACAAGTGGTTCATTTCATTTTCAGGCAGTCTGACCAGAACTGACTCATCTACAGTGCTTTCTGGAAACCATTCTATCAAAAACTCCAAAGTGCATGGCCATAACCCGGACTGGGCCATTCTCTCTGAAATGTTCTACTTGAATTTCCCCCCATCTGATCCTAATCTTCTTCCGTCTTTCCCACTGCCTCATTAGCAAAAATATGTCCATGTGTATCAGACCTGTTCCTGTTCCATTTCCTTCCTTAAGCAGCACATCCTGCCAACCTATGATTGACCAAATCAGCTGCTTTTTCAAACCAGTTCCCTCAGTAGTTCCCTCCCCTGTGCTACAACCAGCTTGCAAACTCACATCCTTAGATCAATCCAACTACCTGAATTCCTATGTTCTGCCCACAAACTCCAGCTATGGAGCAGGACTGCTAAGACTCTACCAACAGCTGCTATTAAAAATGTAATTTTAAGTACACTGTAGCTGTTCACTACCTCTATTCATTTTGCTTCCTATTCCCTCCACTGCAGTTCAGACATTCACCACTTCTTCAAGCACCCTATGCAATCCCTTCCACCCTCATTCCTACAGGATGACATCACTTCGGATCTCATCAACTATGATATGCTCCTATTATCACACCCACGTAAGTGCATCTTTCAGTAATTTGCTTAATTAATCATATTGGTTCCTTTTCCTCATTGTGATAAAAACTGTTAGGTCTTTTTCATCTGGAAAAGTCTTTGCCTCAATATCTGAATATTACATGATTACATAATTAAGAAATATACAATTAAGATATTAAGACACAGAAAATTAAGTTCGGTGAAAGTAGAAAAGTACTTAATAAAATTTACACCAATTTATGAAAACTCAGTAAATTGAGATGAATGGGAATTTAACTTGATACAGTGTATTGAAATCCTATAGCAAATATCATAGTTAATGCCTGCTTTTTACCACTTCTGTTGAACCCTGTGCTGAAGGTATGAGCTAGTGCAATGAAACGACAATAAAAAAGGTATGAGGATTACAAAAGACATTATTCACAGACAATATGATTGGCTATGGAATCTTTCGGTAAATTATCTGAATGACAATTCAGCAAGGTAGCTAAATATAAGACCAGTATATTTTTAAAAATCACTTTACTTAATATATTTCAGGAACAAACAGAACATATATGTTTTTAAAGATTCCATTCACAACAGCAAGAAAAAAATGACACACTTAAGAATATAAATAGCAAAAGATGCATAAGAATTTTTTAATATAATTATAAAACTTTATCAGTTACTTTAAACAGGAACAAAATAAATGTAGAGCTATACCATGTTTATGGATAGAAAGGCTCGATATTATAAAGTTATGAACTGCTCCCAAATTGATACATAAATTCAATGCCATTCCAATTAAAATACTGACTGTGTATCTTACAGACTTTGACAAGCTGATTCTTAAGTTTGTGTCAAAATGCAAAGTGCCCGGAATAGTTAGGAACATCTTAAAAATGAAAGCAAGGTAGAGTACTTCTCATCAAGACTTATTGTAAAGCCATAGTTATTAAAATAATGTGATACTGGCCCAGACTTGCAAAGATCAAATGAGATCCATAAGTGTAGGACAATTTGATATATGTCAGAGCTGACATATAAAATAATCAGGTTAAAAATGAACAACAATAAATCACTATCAATATGGAAAAAATGAAGCTAACTCCCCAAATAAATTCTAAGTGGAGTCAATAAGCAATTATGAAAAGTAAAACCTAGAAAATTTTCAAAGACATAGAAGAAAAATTTTAAATTAGAGATTGTCATTTTAATATCTAGCTAGCTATTAGAATTTTGTGGAGAAGTGAATAAGATAATGCAAATGAAAACACTTTGAAAAGCACAAGGTATACCATAAAACATAGAAGGCAATTTTATTATTATAGAGCCAGACAAGTATGTTTCCATGTTCTACCCAAGTTATCCGACTCCAAAATTTTTTTAAATTTTGTCTCAATATATTTATTGTAGTTAAAAATGCTTCTGAAGATAATTTGTTACTAGAACATGAAAAGCCTACCAAAAGGACACTTCCTAGACCACAATATACTCAGTTGTTTCTTAAGCTGCCATTAACTTGACATTTGTAATTAATGATTTCTTATAAAAAGCAAAGCACTGCTACGATGTCCTTAAAAGGTCGCATGAATTTCTTTCAGGAACTCTTCAATACCCAAATGTTTTACAACATGCCGGACAAGACATGCTAAGATCATTGGCTATTTTAACACTGAAATTATAAAGCACCTTTCTCATATAATTGTTTTTGTCATTAATATTCACAATTCAACAATAATAAGCAATGTTAACGTCGGTTGAGTGCTCATTACTTCCCGGGTAATTTCTTAAGCCCTATACATATATTCTCATTTATTCCTCATTTCTGCACAATGAAGTGGGCAGTATTACCTCCTTTTACTGATGAGGAAACAGGTCAAAAGGGGACAAATAGCTAACCCAAGGGTATACAATGACCAGACTAGAGCCTATGCCAATTTGATGCCAAATATGATACTTGTTAACCACTAATCCACACTCCTTCAATATATGCATACATATGTGCTAAAGGCAAATAGAGAACACTTCCTAATGAATGTATAGAAAAGATTGAAGGAGGCCTGGTGTGGTGGCTCAGGCGTGGTGGCTCACACCTGTAATCCCAGCACTTTGGGAGGCCAAGGTGGGTGGATCACCTGAGGTCAGGAGTTTGAGACCAGCCTGACAAACATGGAGAAACCCCGTCTCTACTAAACATACAAAATTAGCCAGGCATGGTGATACACACCTGTAATCCCAGCTACTCAGGAGGCTGAGGCAGGAGAATCACTTGAACGTGGGAGGCGGATGTTGTGGTGAACCGAGATCACATCATTGCACTCCAGTTTGGGCAACACGAGCGACTGGTTATTGCTAAGTGCCGAGATATTGGGTCATTTAATTTTCACTTTAAATTAAATACTTTCAGAATTGAAGTTTATTTTTCTGCATTTTCTGTATTTTCTGTATTTTACATTTTATAAAATGTATACAATGAGCACGTTCAACTTTTCTAGTAAAAGTAAACATTAGGAAAATTATAAGAAAATATGTTTATGATCATGAATTCAGTAATAAAAGACCTAAAAGAGTTTGGAAAAATCCTAACATACCTATTCACAGGTCAGTGAATAAACATTTAGTGATGCCCTAATAGGTGCCAGGCACTGTGTGAGCCACTTGTACACACATCATCCTATTCTTAAGATTCCTCACTTTACCTATGAAGAAACTGCGGTTCAGGTAATTCCTACAGAAAGCAAAATTCTAGCCCAGGTTTCCTCCCACTATTCTTCAGCCACCTTTCTAGATGCCAAGGAAAGATTCAATTGAAGACAGCATGATGTTTGGAAACTTACAGCTAAAACCTCTTCAAACTCCTGGCTTTTCTTGGCAGCCTCAAGGAGAAGCAAAGATGCTTTGTCATCTTTCTCTCCCACAAGAACACTTCTGACAGCCCTGCTCACTCGCTCTCCCCTACTTCAGTACAGGAGTATGGACCCGCCTCTGGGTCAGGGTCAGAGTCTACATTGGTGGGCAGTGTCTATATTGGTGGTCAGTATTGATTTCCTTAACTCTGTCACCCCAGCACCTGCCTTTCTAGTGCTCTGGGCCCTCCCGATCCCTTCCTGTCTCGGCCACCTGCCCTGGATTCTGCCCCTTGTTCTCCTGGACTTGCCACCACTGCTCAATATTCCCAGGCCTACCTCTCCCACACGGGAATCTCAGAGGCTGCACTATGAGCTCCTTGCCGCTGTTTCTCACTCATGTATAGTACGGTGGGTCCAACAAAGGGGTTATAAATAATGAATTCATTAATATTCTTGACTTTGTGCCTGATAGAACTGCGACAGCCAAAAAATCTCTTTTCTTCTCTAGATTTCTAATCCGGGTCTCTCCAAGCCAGCCCTGAATGTCCAGGATAAGAAAAGGAAATCAGTAGAAGCCAAGGAACTCAAAATTCATAGAGTTCCTTGCTGTACTCTGCCAGCAACTATGTCAAGGTCAAGAAAAGAAGAAATGAAATGCATTTATGCAAAGGAAATATTTAGAATGCAGGGAAAAGACATTTATTTCCAAGCAAAATTCCTTTCCAAGTGCTCTAATCAATGGCAAATACTCAAAGACATCAAAAGGATTCTGTTTCTTCAAAGTTTAGAAGAAAAAAGGAAAACTTCAAGATAGAATGAAAAGTTATGAGAATGTTTGACGCAAGAGAAAGGCAATCTTTTCTTCATAAGAGATTTTTTATTAAACTATTAGAAATGCAGTGAGGAAAAAAAGTGACAGAGATGTAACAAATACATTCTTCTGGAATCTGGTCAAAGTCTTGCTATCAATATTTTTGTTTTATAGTTTTATATCATATTTGTGCTTCTTTGTGAGGATCATCAGTTTTGACATCAGTGGAAATATGCAACTCGTTTCCAGAGTTTTTGGAAAATAAGAAATGTGAGTTACATAAAAAAGAAATCCAAATACATCTGCAATTTAAAACAGCTTCTTCCCCCTCACCCCTTCAAAAAAAAGCAGTATTCAATGCTTAGTGCTGAGGGGAGTAGAAGTACTGATTTGTGACATGCAATGAACTCCCTCAGGATTCCACATTTTAATCACTGAACATCACCATTGTGACAAGTTAGAAGGAGTCACTCAAAAGCATTCAAGATATTTTTGTTTGTTTTTTAGATGGAGTCCCACTCTGTTGCCCAGGCTGGAGTGCAGTGGCGCGATCTCTGCTCACTGCAAGCTCCACCTCCCGGGTTCACGCCTGCCTCAGCCTCCCGAGTAGCTGGGACTACAGGCTCCCGCCACCATGCCTGGCTAATATTTTTTGTATTTTTAGTAGAGACGGGGTTTCACCATGTTAGCCACGATAGTCTCGATCTCCTGACCTCGTGATCCACCCACCTCGGCCTCCCAAAGTGCTGTGATTACAGACTTGAGCCACCGCACCCGGCCTTCTTTTTTTTTTTTTGTACTTTTAGCAGAGACGGAGGTTTCACCATGTTAGCCAGGATGGTCTTGATCTCCTGACCTCGTGATCCGCCCACCTCGGCCTCCCAAAATGCTGGGATTACAGGCATGAGCCACCACGCCTGGCCGCATTCAAGATATTTTTTAAAGGCAGAGAAAGGTAATTTTTAGAGAAACTCCAAACAGGTGTTACCTTGCCCACGGATTTGGGATTCGGAAGGATACTGAAAAACACATCTGCTTTATCTGTGTCATTAGGTTTGGATTCTAAATAACATCAAATAATTTAACTATATATATTATCTAGAATACTATCACAGATCATACATATTGATGAGTATTTACTGCTATTAATTGAAGAAGCACATTTAAATGAAGTAAAATAAAAATCAAAACAACTGGCTCTTAGTAAGCTATACTTAAGTTACGTATCTCTGTTCTAAACCCCTTAGCGGAAAATAAATGCCCTCTACCTTCCTTTCTGGAATTTTAAGATGATTAATGTCTCCCATAATCTTTTGACTCCTGTGTAAAGGCAATGCCTTAAGGCTAATTAATTGGCCTACTAGTAGAATGTGTGGTTTCTATTAAGTGAGATCACAGAATTTGGAATTACTAATAAATTTATTATATGCTATCTAAAATGGTTTTGTTGGCTAGGCGCTGTGGCTCATGCCTGTAATCCCGGCACTTCGGGAGGCCGAGGCCGGTGGATCACCTGAAGTCAGGAGTTTGAGACCAGCCTGGCCAACATGGTGAAACCCCGTCTATACTAAAAATACAAAAAAAAAATTAGCCGGGCGTGGTGGGCGAGTGCCTGTAATCCCAGCTACTCAGGAGGCTGAGGCAGGAGAATCGCTTGAACCCAGGAGGCGGAGGTTGCAGTGAACCAAGATCACACCATTGCACTCCAGCCTGGGTGACAGAGCGAGACTCTGTCTCAAAACAATAAATAAAATTTTGAAAAAATAAGAAAATGTTTTTTTTTTTTTTCTGGAGAAAGCAGAGGCCGCAGTATTGTGATGCATGGGTTGAAGTCTTGGCTCTGTCCCTGTGGGCTATCAGGCCTCAAACAAATCACCTGACTTCTCTAAGCTCAGTATCTTCATACTGAATATTTTCCAAAAACTCCTGTTCTGCCTACTTCACCTACTTCACAGCAGGTGATAAGACCATGGAAGGAATTCAAAAAGGTATCACTGTTGTTAATTAGGGACTTAGATATACAAAACCCACTTATTCTCACTTAAGCCTCATTACTGACCCAAAAATGTAGCAAATATTATTTGGCAAGTAACAACAGCAACAAAAACAGAGAGCTCCTATCTGACTTCTTCCTCTGGCAAAAATTTCCATTAGTCATTTGCTATCTTAAATTGTTAATTGAGGGTTTTTCACATAAAACCGGTATTTCTCAGCAAGAATAAGAAATAATCACTGTTTAGATCATTAAATGAAGTCAAAAGTTGTTAAAATATTCTTTTCATCATTTCGAGCTGGAGACAATTTGTTCACAGACTGCACTGCACGGTTTGATTGTGCCGTTCTTTTATCCAGCCTCAATCGGAACACGCACTTGGCAACGCAAGCCCCTCCGCAGCAAAAGAAGTGTTTTCTATCCAACAGCTCACATTTCTTGCTCAGCCTGGTAAACAGCTTCTTCCCGATAAAATCTAAGACAGTCAAGACTCAATGCAATTCCTATCAAAATTTCAATGATATTCTTTGTAGAAAAAGGAAAAAAAAAAAACCCATAAAATTCAAATGCAATCTCAAGGAACCCCAAATAGCCAAAAAATATTGAAAAAGAGCAAAGCTGAGGCCTCATACTCCCTGATTTCAAAACATACTACAAAATGACAGTAATCAGACAGTGTGGTAGTGGCACAGAAACTTATATAGGCCGATGGAACAGAATAGAGAGCCTGGAAATAAACCCTTGCATATATGGCCAATGACTTTTGACAAGGGTACCAAGACTACAAAATGGGGAAAGGACAGTCTCTTCAACAAAATGGTGCTGGGAAAACTGGATATCCACAAACAAAATAATGAAATTGGACCCACACCTTATACCATATACAAAAATTAATTCAAAATGGATTAAAGACCTAAACTAACACATGAAACTATAAAACTCCTAGAAGAAAACAGGGGGAAAGCTTCCAGACAATGGGTTTGGCAATGATTTCTTGGATACGACACCAAAAGCGTAGGCCACAAAAACAAAAATAAACTGGGACTACATCAAACTTAAAAACCCTCTGCAAATCAAAGGAAACAGTCAACAGAGTAAAAACGCAGCTTACAGAATGGGGGAAAATATTTGCAAATCTTATATAGTCATCCCTCGGCATCTTCAGAGGACTGGTTCCAGAACCAATGGATACTAGAATCAGTGGATGCCCAAGTCCCTGATATCAAATGGTGTCATATTCACATGCAGCCTATGCACATTCTCCTGTATACTTTAAATCATTTCTAGATTACTTATAATACCTAATACCATGTGACTGTTATATAAATAGTTGTTAGGCAGTATTTTTTATTTGTATTTTTTATTGTTGTGTCGTTATTTGTATTGGTTTTTTTCCCAAATAGTTTCAATCTGCAGTTAATTGAATCCAAAGATAAGGAACACACAGAGAGACAACTGTATCTGATAAGGAATTAATACCCAGAATAAGAAACTTCTGCAACTCAGCAACAACCAAAAAACCCTGATTTTGAAATGGGCAAAGGACTTGATAGACAATACTCCAAAGAATATATACAAATGGCCAAGAAGCATACAAAAAGACGCTCAATACCTCAATAAGAGAAATGCAAATCAAAATCACAATATCACCTGACACCCATTAGGATGGCCACTATCAACAGAAAGGAAAATAGCAAGTGTTGGCAAGGCTGCAGAGAAATCAGAACACTACGCACTGTTGGTGGAAATGTAAAATGGTGCAGCCATTATAGAAAACAGTATGGCTGGGCACGGTGGCTCAAGCCTGTTATCCCAGCACTTTGGGAGGCCAAAGCAGGCAGATCATCAGAGGTCAGGAGTTCAAGACTAGCCTGGCCAACAAGGTGAAACCCTGTCTATACTAAAAAAAATAAAAATAAAAAATAAATAAATTAGCTGGGCGTGGTGGTAGGTGCCTATAATCTCAGCTACTTGGGAGGCTGAGGCAGGAAAATCACTTGAACCCAGGAGGCAGAGGTTGCAGTGAGCTAAGATCACGCCACTGCACTCCAGCCTGGGTGACAAAGTGAAACTCTGTCTCAAAAAAAAAAATAAAAATAAAAATAAAACAGTATGGAATTTTCTCAAAAATTAAAATAGAACTACCATACAATCTAGCAATCCCATTTTTACGTTGTCTTAGTTTGTGCTGCTATAAAAAGGTGTTATAGACTGGGCGGCTTACACACAACACACATTTATTTTTCACAATTAGAGACCTCACTGTGCCAGAATGGACAAAGATCAGGGTGCCAGAATGGTCAATTTCTGTTGGAGGCCCTCTTCCAGGTGGCAGACTGCCACCTTTACGTTGTGTCTTCACATGGCAGAAAGACAGCATGCTAGCTCTCTGGCCTTTTCTTATAAGAACACTATATCCCATTCATGAGCACCTCACCCTCATGACCTAGTCTCCTCCCAAATGCCCTGCTTCCAAATACCATTACATCAGGGCTTGGAATTCGCCATGTGAATTTTGTGGGGACATATTCCATCCACGACATGGGTATCTATATCCAAAAGACATATACAAGATGCAGAATCTCAAAGAGATAATTTGCACACCTGTGTTCACTGCAGCATGATTCACAATAGCTAAAAGGTGGAAGCAGCCCACATGTCCATTAACAGACGAACAGATAAAGAAACTGTCATGTATACAGATAAATATATACACAACGTGACATTATGAAGCCTTAAAAGAAGGAAATTCTATGGCATGCCACACCATAGATGAAGCTCAGGAATATCATGCTAAGGGAAACAAGCCAGTCACAAGAGGGCAAATGCTGTATTATTCCACTCACATCAAGTATCTGAAGTAATCAAAATCACAGAAACAAAGTAGAAAGGTGGTTGTCAAGGGCTGGGAGGAGGACGGGGGAGGAAGGGAAAATTAGTATTAAATGGGTACAGAATTTCAGTTTTGCAAGATGAAAAAGTCCTGGAGATTGATTGCATAGCAATGTGGATACGGTTAACACTTTTAAATTATATGCCTGAGGATGGCTAAGATGGGAAATTTAATGTTTTATGTTTTTATCACAATAAAAAACAAGAAGACAAAATAAAAATGCTGTAAAATATTAAGGCAGTCCGCATCGAGTCTACAAAATAATGCTGCAACCCTAGACTCCCTAGATCAAGTCATCTAAGAATCCATGTTGGTGAAACCCCATTTCTACTAAAAATACAAAAATTAGCCTAGTGTGGTGGTGGGCACCTGTAATCCCAGCTACTCGGGAGGCTGAGACAGGAGAATCGCTTGAACCTGGGAGGTAGAGGTTGCAGTGAGCCGAGATCGTGCCACTGCACTCCAGCCTGGGCAACAAAGAGTGAAACTCCATCTCAAAAAGAAAAAGAAAAAAAAAGAATCCATGTTAAATAACCTAATGATAACTGCCAGGCACTGAGCTCAGAGGTTTACATGTATTATCTCATTTAATCATCCAAATTGTTAGATCAGAATTATTATCCCCATTTTCTATAAAATAGTAAGGTTTGGTGCAGTCACATCCTGAGGTCACGCCCCAAGCCTGTGCTGCAAAGGGTCAAACTGCTAACTGCAAGACATAATGCCTTCTCTGATTAAACAGTCATCTACACCAGACAACAAAACCCACAACAGATGCTGTCTTTTCCTAATTAACCAAGAATGAATAGGTGAAAAAAAAAAGCAATGCTGAACTTTAAAGAAACAACTGAATTGAGGCACACGATGCTAGAAAACCACCTTAGGAGAAATACATTTACAGCTGTAACATACTAATTCGCCAACCTGCCAGAGCAAAATTACCTTCCTTCACCTAAAACAGCATTCAATGAGGCCAGATCTATTTCAGTTTTTCAAACTAGCTGCTCAAGGCCTGGGGATGATGACAATTCTGCTGGCTGAGTCATGCCGCTTTAGTGATCTGGGCAAGGAGAGGAGTAAGTTAAAGTATGAAGAGGGAAGATCATTGAGAAGTATGCACAATGTCACAAACAGCAAAGAGATTTAAGATTTTTTGCAGGCAATACAACTAAAAAGCAAATTGTAACCTAAAAATTCAAATCCAAGAAATCCCTGCTCTAAAAGGTGTACTTAGGTTCTTAAAATAATCTCAAATAATCTCTGGACACAGAAGATTGTGATTCTGCCATCTGCTTTCTGTCCAGAACAGTTTCATGATTTACAACTCTATGTGGGCCAGGCTCAGTGGCTCATGCCTGTAATACCAACACTTTGGGGAGGCTGAGGTGGGAGGATTACTTGAGCCCAGGAGGTCAATACCAGCCTGGGTAACATAGTGAGACACCGTATCTACAAAGAATTAAAAAATTAGCTGGGTGTGATGGTGCATGCCTGCAGTCCCAGCTATTCAGGAGGCTGAGGTGGGAGGATTGCTTGAGCCTGGGAGGCTGAGGCTGTAGTGAGCTGTGACCATGCCACTGCACTTCAGCCTGAGTGACAGAGTGAGACTTGTCTCAAAAAAAAAAAAAAAAAAAGTCGGCCGGGCGTGTTGGCTCACGCCTGTAATTCCAGCACTTTGGGAGGCCGAGGCAGGCAGATCACAAGGTCAGGAGATCGAGACAACCATCCTGGCCAACATGGTAAAACCCCATCTCTACTAGAGACCTGTAATCTCAGCTACTCAGGAGGCTGACACAGGAGAATCACTTGAACCCAGGAAGCAGAGGTCGCAGTGAGCTGAGATCACGCCACTGCACTCCAGCCTGAGCGACAGAGTGAGACCCCACCTCAAAAAAAAAAAAAAAGTCTATGTGACATTCTTGCCACTATACTTTTACTACAAGGCTAATCTGAATTTGGAAGGTAGGGGTGCCAACTGTCCCATTGATTCACTTTCTAAACTCAACACAGCCACCTCTATCTTTGACTTTCAGAGTTCGCAAAAAGCTGACCTCCCTTCCACAAGTTCCCTTCACTTGTCAGGGCAAGTCCCAGAGCCGCTCTCAGGCATGTGTCTCCTCCTCAAAAAGCCGCAGTGGAAGGAGCTCAAGGCCGGCAGAGCAAGGCTCTCTGGAGGCTGCTCAATGCGGGCTGCAGCCTCCGCAGCCTATCAGCTCTGCAGCTATTTGACACAAATATATCCAGATGCTGAAAATTTACTGCAGGCTTCAGCTATGCCACAGCCACAAGGAGATGCGAATAATTATGTTTTGAAGGCTTTTCTCTCTGTTTTCAACAGTCAATCAAGATGATGGGATTTCTGGGGACATGAGGGAAATGTCAGCCTGTGCTTTTCGGCACAGTGATGGGGACTCTTATGCAAGTGGGTCTTGTTCTGCTTCTGCTGATCCATTAGAAGGAACGCCCAGAATCCTCAGCCAGAATAAATCTTTCAATCTTGGGAATCAAAGTTGAAAAAACACAAATGTAAACCAAAGCATCTGGCCTAAAATTAGGGATCATTGATACCATAAAAGTTAAAAATTCAAGCCATTTCAATACACAGCTCCAGGTGTTCAATTGAGTCCAGTTAAACAGACACTAAGATGTCCCTGCATTAGACTGACAGTGGAATGCGGATTTCTCATTATTGTACTAAGGCTCTTGCAGGACCTTAGTACGATACTTGTTTTTACATACAGAATGGCATGTTATAAAAGAGGCAAACATAACCATCACGCCTGTGTTAAAATAGTGCTAAATGCACTGTCTGTACTAACAGGGAGCTTTGCCACAGGGAGTAATTATGTCTGGGAAAGGAACACAGAAAAAGAGAAAGAGAGAGAGAAAAACATTTTTCTAATTCACAGCTGTAAAGCCCTGCAAGGCAATATCCCATCTTCACGGATCAGGATGTGGCATTTACCTACAAGAGGGCTTTAGGTTTCAAGGGAAAAATCAGCTCCCAGGTTGTAGACCCATGAGAGCCTGCAGGGACAACCCTCAGACTCCTGAAACTGAAGAAAGCAGGGGCCTAAGACCTAGGGATAGATTTGTGTCAGTGCAATCCTGACAATAAAATCCTCCAGCCAGGCACCTAAGGAAACAGGTGCTATACTCAGTGAAGACTGTGTGGCAGAAGTGTCCAGGAGCTATGTTGCTGTTTAACCTTGGTGTACAAAAACAGCAAAGGAAGAGCCAAAAGGTTTATGCTTGCTTGGCCTTCACTCACTTTGGACTCACTTGTTGTCTATACCTCTAAAAGTCTAACGGCCCCAGAGAGATAATAGCCTTGAGAATTTCCACAGCACTGATCAATGCCATTTGCTTTACCCTGAGAATGCACAACCACACACCATCACTTCTTGTCCCAACCAGACCAGGAGGTTATGAGGAAGGGAATCTTATCCTCTGTGTGTGTGTATCCCCACTGCACATAAGTACCCAAAGGTTTGTTATTTGACTGACACAGGAGCACCGAGAGAGAGTCAGAGATGCTTCTTTTGAATCCAAGGGCTGCCAATCTAATGACCAGGAGTGAAGGTGCTAGAAATAGAGAATGTGAGAGGCAAAGTAGCACGTGCAGGAAAGATAATGAGTTCTGTTTTAGATATATGGAGCACAAAATTTAACTAAAGCCAATATTGAAAAATATGCCAAGATCTAAATATGTTACAATTATGTTAACACTGCCTGTAAAATAGTGCTGCTCAGGAAGTTTTGGTATAAAGGGCCTCTATGTAGCCGGGTGTGGTGGCTCATGCCCGTAACAGCAATTTGGGAGGCCAAGGTAGGAGGATTGCTTGAGTCCAGGAGTTCAAGACCAGCCTGGGCAACATAGTGAGACTGTATCTCTACAAAAAATAAAAAATTAGCCAGGCGTGGTGACGTACGCCTGTAGTACCAACTATTTGGGGGGCCGAGGTGGGAGAACTGCTTGAGTCCAGGAGTTCAAGACCAGTCTGGGAAACACAGTAGATCCTACCTCTACAAAAAATAAGATTAGCCAGGTGTGGTGGTGCATGCCTGCAGTCCCAGCTGTTCGGAAGGCTGAGGCAGGAGGATTGCTTGAGCCTGAGAGTTTGAGGCTGCTGTGAGCTGTGATCATGCCACTGCACTCAGCCTTGGCAACAGAGCAAGACCCTGTCCAAAAAAAAAAAACCCTCTTCACAAAGAACTAAGATAACCTTCAACTCAACTAAAGACAAAACTGACATCACTTTCAGCAAGACCATAGTAAGTTCTGTATACTTTTAATTAAAAAAATTTAAAACCTAATAAATTTATGCTAGAAAAATATAAGCATTATCATCTGATAAATATTAATGTATGAACACAAAGCTGTGGACCTCCTAGACCGTTCATAAGTCCACCATTGTACCTCAAATGGTACTTCAGTATAGCTAAAGTCCATCGTTATCTAATTTTAAATAAAAGTAGACTATGTATTATTTTTGTCAAAGACTATTTACTCTGCCAAAACCTTGCAAGTCATGCAACTGTGCCTATTATTTAACAGAAAATGAGTTACGTAAGTCTCTGAAAAATACACTCTTGATAACATTAAGCTTTAATAAAGGTTATTTATGGCTCCCGAAAAGTAGTTCTTCTCTTGTCAATTGTATTCCGTAATTTGAGGAAACTTAAAAACTTGCACCATGTAGAGCAGAGAAACCTGAGTCAGCATCTTCTCATCTCATAATTGGGAGAAAGGGCAGGAGCCACGTTCCTCCTAAGACAGCAGGGAGATGAAGCACTCTTCAGCCACCTCCTCATTTCTGCCCCAGTCCTCTGCTCCTGGGAACCAACATCCTTCTTTGCAGCCACACTCAGTCTTGCTTGGAATGTAGGCTTTTCCCCAACTCCCCGCTGCTGTGGCAGGCCAGGTCATTGCAGCTAACCTGACTCTGGGTTTACCCCGCCCAAGGGTTACACATCAATGCTAGGACAGGTACTCCCAGAAGGCTTCCTATAGCAACAACATATGCGGAAAGGATTATGTCATTAATTCTGATCAGTTTAACTGCAAGATCTTATGGTGTTTGGAATCTCTTTCTCTTATGCAGCTGGAGTTTCAGAGTTCTCACTATTGACTTCTCGGGAAATTAATATGCAATATGAAGCAATTTCTTTGCTTGTCAGCTCAACTCTAACAGATTATGAAAAATCTAACTAGTATCAGCTGCCTTCATTGACAGATAAATGTCCTCCCTTCTCACTGGCCTCTGTCTCCTTGTCACCGGCATTTTAGCAAAGGTCAGTCTCTAAATTGAACAAAGGATGAGACAAAATATTGTGTTCATGTGTGGGAAGGTCACTTAGTCATCTCTGTGTTTCTTGATTAGGCTAACTCTCCACTGCAACATTTTACTTTCGTTCTGAGGTTATCTCCAAAGAGTCCCCCAAAACTCATTTCTATGTGTATGCTTTATCTTTACTACCTGAGAATTCTCTTTCTCCTAACCTGAATACGTCATATTACCATTTCAATACTCTTTCCTTCATTAGGTGCTCAGTGGTTCCATGCCCGTGTCTTTCCTAAGCTACTATCAAAAGGTCACTGATGACCTCCTAACTGGTAAATCCAAAGGACTATCTGTAATTTGCAAACCCATAGCCTTTATTTAATCGTGCCAGCCACTGCCTTCTTTATACACTGAAAGCCAGCCTCCTTCTAAATTCCTCTTTCTTGGTTCTAGTCCTTTTGCTCCAACTAATCTTTCCTAGTCACTTTTTACAGATTCTTCCTCCTCTACCAAATGCTTCATGAATAGCTTGCCCTAGGATTCTACTAATATATCTAGCAAATCAATGCAAAGTAGGTTCTGCATGTAAACGGTTAAGAAGTTAGGATGATATATTTTGAAAAAGAGAAGGATTGGTGGTGACTTATAGCTTTATTCCAATCTGCAAGCCCCTAACAGCCGACTTGTTTTGTGGTGGTGAATATAGAAGGGCCTGAGTCAGGATCGGGTTGGCAAAGAGCAGAGACTCATCACCAAACCAACTAATGCGCTTATCATACTAAACCAGAGTTACCTGTTTTCATGGCTGTTTCACCAGATAAATGGGATACTCTGAAAGATAAAATGAAGTAAATCATCATAAATTCAATCATATCAGGTCCCTATTTAGAACCCCTTGATAGAGTCTCAATGGATTTAGAATCAAAATCCACACTCCTTATGCTGGCCTGTAATGCCTAAATGTCTGGCCTCTGGCTACTTTTCCCATCTTCCTGGCCTTCTCTGGGGGTTTCACAAATATATCCAGCTGGATCCAACCTCCAAAACCAGAAAAACTATTATAATAGATTTTTTAAATTGTGTATGTCCACACAATGGACTAGTATACCGTTGTAACTAACAATCTACAGCCAAGGATTTCCATGGATGTATTTTAGAAGCACCAAGTCACCAAAGACAATATATAGTATGTGATACCATTTTTATAAAGTTCAAAAGCAAGCAAATCTAAAAATAGATTGTTTAACAATATATTCATGATTCCTGTGGCAAAAATAAAGGAAAGCAGGAGAGTAAGAAATAAGAGTAAGATGGTGACAATTTCCAGGAAGGGAAGGTGAGGCAGGGTATATGATTAAAAAGAAGCCCCAGGGAGCTGGGTGCGGTGGCTCACGCCTGTAATCCCAGCACTTTGGGAGGCCGAGGCAGGTGGATCACGAGGTCAGGAGATTGAGACCATCCTGGCCAACATGGTAAAATCCCGTCTCTACTAAAAATACAAAAATAAGCTGGGCGTGGTGGTGCACACCTGTAATCCCAGCTACTCAGGAGGCTGAGGAAGGAGAATTGATTGAACCCGGGAGGCGGAGTCTGCAGTGAGCCAAGATCGCGCCACTGTACTCCAGCCTGGGCAATAGAGTGCGACTCCATCTCAAAATAAATAAATAAATAAATAAATAAATAAATAAACCCCAGGGAGTTTCATCTCACATAATCTACATATGCATAACATACATTCTTTTGTATGTAGCAAATGTCTTATAGTTTAAAAGGAAATGTAAGACCACATTTGCTGAGCCACACCACAGCTGCCTCCAACCAGACTGCAATTCAATTTAACACGTACTCGTTCTGGCAATGGTGAGTCACTGCTTTTTGATGGCCAGATTGTGACGCTAGTCTGTCTGGATTAACCATCACGGAACTAATCAGCTGTTACAGGAATTGCAGATTTGAAAAAAATTCGGTCATCATTAATCCTTCTTTTTATATCAAAACTAACTATATCATCCAGTTTCTTAACCCTTTGCATACAGAACCTACTTTACATTCATGCAGCACAGTCATTAGACCTATTAAGACACTCAGCAGCCATTGTGCAGCAGTGATTTTCACAGGATGTGGAGGCTGATGGGTTTCGTGTCCTATGTACTGCTTTATTTCTAGTTGAGGCATACCAGAGCCAATTGTATGTATGAGAGTCTCAGCTGTCCCCAGCATCAAAAACATCTCTGTCACAGCATCAAAAACATCTCTCATCTGACACACCCTAGCAGTTTCTACATCTGCTGGTCTGTCTCTTGAGTGACAGTACAGCTCATGCATGGATGTTAAAGAGCCTCTCTTGAGCTCCCAGCCTGGGTTCAAATCCTGACTCCGCCACTCACCAACAGGTTGACCTTGAGTAAAGAACTTACTTTTCCTGTGTCTTCAAATAGGAATAATCGTCGGAACCTGTCTTGTGGGCTACTGTGAGGATTAGATACGGTAATGTATAAAAGTGCTTAGCTGCCAGGTGTGGTGGCTCATGCCTGTAATCCCAGCACTTTGGGAAGCCGAGGAGGGCGGATCACTTGAGGTCAGGAGTTCAAGACCAGCCTGGGCAAAATGGTAAAACTCCATCTGTACTAAAAATACAAAAATTAGCAGGGCATGGTGGCAGGTGCCTGTAATCCCAGCTACTTGGCAGGCTGAGGCAGGAGAATTGCTTGAACCCGGGAGGTGGAGGTTGCAATGAGCCAAGGTCATGCCATTGCACTCCAGCCTGGGTGACAGAGTGAGGCTCTGTCTTAAAAAAATAAACAAATAAATAATAAAAGTGCTTAGCATATTGGATAAATCTGCTCAGAGAGGGTTAGCAATTTTTATTAATTAGTATATTATTAGTTATATATTTATTGTTATAATTATATAATCAAATATATTTAATTAGTATAAATATATACTTTATTAATATTGATATATATTTACATGATTGAAATTAGTAATTATTATATAATTGGTATAATTCATGTTAGCATATTACTATTAACATATTAATATTTATTATATAATAGCATATATCTATGTATATGTATATATGTGTATATATACTTATATATACATATATACACATATATACACATGTATACATATATACACATATACATATACATATATACACATATACATATATACATATATACATATATATACTTATATATACATATATACACACACACACATATATATATTTGGGTTTTTTTCAATCTGAGCCAACCAGAAAGACTAAGCAGAAAAAGAAGGGTTGCACTGAAAGATCAAAAGTTGGGAAAGTGTCCAAGGGCTATAAAGCCAAGTTGTGTACTGGAAATGAAGAGGCTGGAGAGTCGGTTACCAGAGAGCAATCAAGAGATAAATCAGGCCCAAATCACTGGGAAAATGTGAAATGCAAGTCACATCCAGCAGCCCAGTGTCCACAGCTGAAAGGAGAGGGAGAACAGGCAAGCTCTGAGGGCTAGGGATAGGCAGCGTGGAATCTTCCCTTGTCATTCCTCACCTGAGCTGTGCTCACCCCTGTCTGTCCTCTAGCCAGCCCCAGGAGCCTCGCCTTCCTGACCTGGGGACCAAATGCAGCATTTCCCATCAGGCCATTGTCCCAGGCTCTAACTCACAACCAATTCTCATCACTGAGGATCCTGAACAGCCCTTACCAACAGGACGACACGGACATGGCTCAGTAAGTCGGGTCTCCCATCAACAATATACCCAGGGGTCAAAGCTTTATCACTTGCTGTGTCAAGACCCGAAATTTGATCAGAAAGCCACTGCCAATCTGAAACCTTGCTCTGCGCTTCCGGCTTACAAAGGACATGCTGACCCTCTTTTGCTTTTTCTTGGTCAATCAGGCAGAATTTAGTCCCAGCACAGAGCTCTGCAAAGACAATAGATGTTGCCGGCTATGGCCAAGGTTCTTCAGACTCAGCCCGGCAGATTCCCCCACGCTTCTCCAGATGCATCATCTGCTGAAAGTTATCTCCTCTCTAAAAGGCTACCCTCAGCTCTTCCAGACATTCCTCTTGGCTAGCCCCAGAGCACCATCAGCAACGCAGCTGGTGGGCAGCTGGTATATGGGTGGTAAGAATGTACATTCTGGATACAGAGAGACGGTATGTAGCCCAGATCACATATCAGCTATAAAACAAGAAGAATTCCATCTCAGAGATGCTGGGGCATTACATGAAATAACGCAGATAAAGAGTTCAGTGGAACAGTTGGTATTCATAGACATCAATAAATACCAGTTCTTCTCCTCTGCTTCCTTCTCCCTCCCCATTTCTAGAAGACAATCTCAAGGACTTCTGAAGGTATTCCTAGTCTCCTAAACATAAAGCATTTCCTGGGGTGATCCCAAGTAAAATCTGATACTAACTTCTGAATTTCTTGGTAAATCTTCAAGTTTGCCTGTAAGAAATATAATGAGAAAGACTGAGTTCAACACAATATAATTGGCCTTATCAGCAGATCATGGTTTTAATGAATCTTTGTCCAACAAGCTCTAAGAGTATGTCTCTTCATATCTGAAATATTTCTGAAGATGACTGAAACAACATAGAAGCTCCAATTCTATTTCTGTTTCTCTGGTACCAGCCATACAGCAGAGATAAAATTTGCTACTCAAGGCATTCCTAAAGAAGAAGAGAGCTAGGATTGCCCTAAAAGCTATCACATTTATTATAAGAGCTATTATAATTCAGCAAGATGACATTGGCACAGAAATAAGCAAATTTAACAAAATAGGGATCTCAGAAACACACATACAACAAAGGTGGCAATGGTCAAAGACAGCCTAATCAACACTGCTAGGATAGTAGTTTATATATTTTTTGAAAAAATAATATTATATATCTATCTCACACCACATAGTACATAAATGGAAATTTAGAAATTCTTGGTGAATTAAGAACCTAAAGGTTGAAAGCAAAACTTTGACACTTTATTCTTTTTTTGAAACAGGGTCTCGCTGTGTCACCCAGGCTAGAGTACAATGTTGTAATCATAGCTCACTGCAGCTTTGAACTCTGGGCTCAAGCAATCCTCCCACCTCTGTCCAAGGAGCTGGGACAACAGGTGCAAGCCACCATGCCTAGATAATTTTTTATATTTTTTTGTAGAGACAGGGTATCACTATGTTGCCCAGCCTGGTCTTGAACTCCTGGCCTTAAGTGATCAAAGCACTGGGATTAGAGGTGTGAGCCACCGCAACTAGCCAACTTTGACATCTAAGAGAAAATTTTTAAAGCTGTAACTCTATGACCTTAGAAGACAGAGGGATCTCTTTTAAACACACACACACACACACACACACACACACACACACACACACACACACACACAGAGCCTTAACTACAAAAGAGCCTTAACTACAAAAACAAAAAAGCCTTAACAACAAAGAAAAATGACAGACAAATTCTCCTACTATAAGAATGCCTTTTCAAAGAACTCCGGAAAGAGAATGGAAAAGACAAGCCAAAAATTAGAGGAAGTAAGATGTCCTTGGCACATGTCACTGACAGCATCTAGAATAAATAAAATAACAAAAATGACAACCAAATAGACAAATGAGAAGCATTTCCAGAAGAAAGATAAACACCCAGTAACCACATGAAAAGATATTTGAGCTCATTAGGAATCAGAGAAATGCTCATTAAAACCCCAAGATTTTATTTTACATCCATTACATAAGCAAAAATATTAATGCCTGACAATATCAAGGATGGCAAAGATGTGGAACAACCAGAATTCTTACATGTTATCACTGAGAGCATGCATTGGAAAACTCTGGAAGACATTTGGCATTGTCTTATAATCTGTATTTGCTAGCCTGGAAAATACATATTTTCCATACATAAGAAATTTATATATGTTTCTTTGAAAACTCTGGAAAATAATTTGGTATTATCTTGTGAAAATGAGCATGCCCATACTCTACAGCTCAGTAATTTCTCTTCTAGGTATAAACCCTAAAGAAATTCTTGTACATGTACATTAGAAGGATACATACAAGATTGTTCATAGCAGCATGGTTTTTAAAAGAAACAATCTAATGACCATCAACAGTAGTTCACATAAACTGCTGCATATTTACAAAATAGAGTGCTGTATACTTGTGAATATAAATGATCTATAGCTATAAACATCAATGTGGATCAATTTTAGAAATGTAATGCTAAGTGAAAATAGCAGGTTGCAATAGAATACATACATGGTATGTGAAATCATTTTAAAGTTCAGAAACAAGCAAGTAACATGCTCGTATGCAGTTTTTAAAAAATAGGAAAGCAAGAGAATAAGCTTAGAATTCAGGATAGGAATTATCAGTTGGGAAGTAGGAATTGTGATCAGGAAAATGCTTACAGAGAACCACTGAAAGTTAGTAATGCTTCTTAAATTGGGAAGTGTGCTCTTACATTTTCATTTTATGACTAGCTTTCATAATTTACATATCTGTAATGTTATTTTAAATATGTAAAGTTTAACAATTAAAAAAAGTTTTAAGATAAAATTTGATATGTCATGACATATTGCCATTCCAAAGCAGACAGTTGACTTGATCGTGTAGTAGCCAGTCCAGAAGGAGGACCCATGCAAAGATTTTTGCCAGCAAGAGAGCAGCAAAATACTCCTAACAGTGACCATAGCCAGGCTCCATGTCTTATGAGGTTCATAAGGAGGTAATATTTCCAACAGTAATACAACATAGACTAAAGTCAACGTTTTTGTTTACAAAAAGATCTAGTTATTCTATTTGCAAAAGCACTGGTAATCTCAGTAAATATCAAGATATAATTTCCTCCTCTATAAACATCTCAAAACACTAATCTCTTCCCAATATTAACTTGTTGTAGATACACAGTTTTCTTGAAGTACTGTATGTTCCTGAACCTTCTACTACACTTTCACACAAACTTAGAGAACGTCTTTACCAGACACACAGCAATAAAACACAAATGGAAGGTTACCAACTGTATCAAAATATCAGTATTTTCACTGTGATCCCAAGCAAAAATTTAACACCTGAAATGTTAAACATTTTACTTCTTTAAAGAACATGTAGTTGCCAAGGCACAGAATGTATTGACAGTTTGATAACAAAATCAGAAAAGTCAATAGAAATCAGAAAGTTCATATATTGCTATAAGGAAATCTGTGATATTAAAGGTGTTTTTTAAAAAAATAAATAAATAAATAAATAAAACTTTCAAGTCAAAACCAAGGGTTTATTTATTTCAAAGGCTATTCAGTGCAACAAAGTGCCAGAACCCAGTAAAATCATCTTTTGGCCATTTTTGTGATTTTCATAAGAACCATACATGTTTATAAATGATAGCATATTTTAAAGTAAATTAGGAAGTGCTGTCAGTTGTAATTAGACAAAATTATCTGAGAAAATTCTACAACATGAATGTAAGTGAAATAATATTTGCTATGTGCCAGAGTTAATAAAAAAATATATATTTATATATTATTTTTATATATTTCATTTTTTATATATATATATATATTTTTTTCATTAAGAGACAGAGTCTTGCTCTATCGCCCAGGCTGAAGTGCAGTGAAGTGATCATAGCTCCCCGAGCTCCCCGTAGCCTCTAACTCCTGGACTCAAGTGATCCTCCTGCCTTGGCCTCCCAAACAACTGGGACTACAGGTACACACCACCGTGCCTGGCTAATGATTTTTTTGCAGAGATAAGGTCTCACTATGTTGCCCAGGCTGGCCTTGAACTCCTGGGCTCAAGCAATCCTCCCACCTCTGCCTCCCAATGTGCTGGGATGACAGGCATGAGCCACCGCGCCTGGCCCAGAAAACATAACTTTAAATTTCCAACACATCACGTCTACAATGTGTTTAACATTCTCAGAGCTGATGCTATGGAGCACAAAAGTAAACCTGCTATAGGCTTTACAAATTGCAACTGTTGAGACAGGAAAGAGGACTGTGATAGTTCCTTCTGCCTGGAAATGAGGAATATAGGAACAAGACCAGAGTGAACCTGGAACCCAGTAGATATTGTCCTGGCTGGGACTGTCTTGGTTAGCAGGGCACTCTGCTTGAAATCAGAGATACTTTAAGCTCCAAAAGCCATTCAAAATGATATACAAGGTATGACACAGGCATTAAGGATGATGCTGTAGATCCCAAAGAGTTCACATCAATGGTTCAGTTATCTCTACTAAAACAATTACAACTCATCCATTTTTCAGGTATGTTATTGGTGCACATATACACATTCAAGTATGAGCATATAGGTAGGTACATAGAGACAGACATACACTGAAAAAAATCATTTATGGATAATGGGCATAACTCTACAGAATACTTAATGTTCTAAAGGCCAAAAAAGAAAAAAAAATCTGGAAACACTTCCAGAAGACTGGCATCTATAACAGTAGGTTCCAAAGCAACCATTTTTTGCTATTTTAAGATGCCTCATAAGGAAAATAAAGAGGAGAAATTATCTCTAAAAAACCACATAAAAGAATTCTAGAACTACAGCATATAATTAAGGTGCCCTAAGGGGACACTATCCAGATTGACTGTGATTTGTAGAGGTTATATGGTACATAATATATCTGTAAAATATAATGCTAATGAGACTTAACATTTTAAAAATAAACAGAAAAATATGAGCCTTC
The DNA here is from genome assembly GCF_000001405.40 of Homo sapiens. Lineage (NCBI taxonomy): Eukaryota > Metazoa > Chordata > Mammalia > Primates > Hominidae > Homo > Homo sapiens. The sequence continues at coordinate 237,175,114 of NC_000001.11, read as the reverse complement.
AGATTGTATTATAAAATCTGCATATTCAAGTGCTATGCATAAGTATATGATTCATTTGGAAGTTATACATTATTAACAAGACTAAGGCTTTACAAACATAAAGGTTGACTCATAATAACACGCTTAAAATCTGGAGGAAAAATATTTGTCAGAAAACACTGCAAATAGAAAACCTTAGTTAACAGTGTTTTTTAACCTTCATTGATCAACATACATAAATCAGGGACTTTTTTGTTAATGTGGAGTATATTTAATAGATCATTTTTCCCTTGCTAGAAATGGAAATACTTGACAAATACTATTGATTCCTGATCCTGTGTCATTGTTGGAGTATTTCTAACAGCAGAGTCCAGAATAGGCCTATTATGAGTTTACTCCTAAATATTCAGCACAAATTAAAATGGAGTCACCATACTCTGCTAACTCCTATTTGAAAAAGCAGTCGGGATATTAGAACATGAGATTGGCAAATCTCAGATTAGGTCTAAGGGGAAACAAAAACCAAGTAGGCAATGGCCACTCACTCCATTGAGTGTTATCATAGGTAGGGAAGGGCCAGATGAAAAGAGAGGTCAGGGGTTGGGGTAGTGGGTGAACAGTGAGGGAGGAAGATTCATAAATGCAAATGGCCAACATCAATAGAGAGCAGGTGCATTTGAAATCAAAGTTCATTTCAAACAGTGCCTACTTTAGGAGGAAAGGACTAAGGATGATGCTCTAGCACAGCAGGAAACCAGGTCATGTAAGAGGATATAAGCCAGGGTGACATTAGTAAGAACAGACTGGTTATTTACTATTTCTTTAATGTTGCCACTAATCTAAAGACAGATTCAAACTCAAGATACTTAAGGAAAACTCTGCCACACCGATTTATTATAAACGCACCATCCTCTAACCTCACTATACACCTTCTGTTTAAATATTAAACTAGATTGAATGAAGAAAAATGAAACTTTTAAAAAATTCTCATAATGTTGAATACTCCAACATAACTAAGCATCCTTGAAACAATCTCTTTTAAATTAAATGACACCAATACTCTTTTTTTTTTGTTTTTTGAGATGGAGTCTTGCCCTGTCGCCCAGGCTGGAGTGCAGTGGCAAGATCTCGGCTCACTGCAAGCCCTGCCTCCCAGGTTCATGCCATTCTCCTGCCTCAGCCTCCAGAGTAGCTGGGACTACAGGCGCCCGCCACCACGCCAGGCTAATTTTTTCGTATTTTTAGTAGAGACGGGGCTTCACCATGTTAGCCAGGATGGTCTCGATCTCCTGACCTCGTGATCTGCCCGCCTCGGCCTCCCAAAGTGCTGGGATTACAGGCGTGAGCCACCGCGCCCGGCCAACACTCTTAATCTTTTATCATGAAAGTCAAACTCTCTTTTAATGCTCTTGTCCCCTTTTATAATGCCTACCAAGCAATTAAGAATCACACATATAAACTGTGTGCGTGTATAGACAGGTATTTGCGGTGTGTAGAAAACTTAACATGCAGAGAAAGAGATCAGTCACTCCAAGGTGAAAGACTCACCTGACCCAGCTACTCTTTCCAACAAGCATCCTCAGTTTATTGTCAGAGTGTGTATTCTCAAAGCAATCTCAATATTACTAACAATCACAAACAGCTGACCTTGTGCAGGTGCCCTTCCGACCACTTTTCAAGTGTAGGAGTCCTGTAATTCTCTCCACAACCCAGTGAGATGGATTCTATTCTATTACTGTCCTCAGTTTACAAAGGAGGAAATAAAGGTTTGGAGAGATTAAGTAATTTGCCCAAGGCATACAGCTAATGAGGAACAGTGCTAGGACTCAAACCAATTGTCTTCAATTTCAAACCCCAGTAGAAGCAGGAAAACACACAACTACTGGGTTCTTGCTTCCTTTTTTGTTTTCAGAGCCATTTCAAACCCTGTCTGGATGCAATAAGCTGATAAAAAAAAAAAAAGAGTAGTTTGTCGTATCTACAGCATCTATATCAAGGCACCTGGGTTGCAGATTCATCTTTCTGAACCTCTTTTTCCTCATCTGCAAATTTAAGTCAACATGCTTTTGTAGTATTAGTAATAATAATAACAACCTTAACAGTTATCATAAGGGTTAAATGGGCTATATGATTGCCAACAGCTCATACTAGCAGGCTTATTGCTGTCATCTCTCTAAAAACAAGTTCTGTCATTCGATATCCCAAGTACTTGAACACAGCAAAGGACCTCTCCTAGGATAGAAATCCACTCACCATTCTGTGCCTATGGCCTGGTATAACACAAACGACTGTTCCAGAGACAGGAAAACCTGAGTCCTGACTCGAACCACCAACCAGAACCTTGGGAACCTCCCTGGGGCCCCACAGTCACATTCATAACCAGATGATGCCAGCAAATCCTATGTCTCCAACATGCTAACGCAGAGTGAGTACATAAAGGAAGTCCATCAATAAAACTCCGGTTTTGCCAGAAACAACCTACAGCAAAAGAAAATTTAGTATTTAATACATTTCTAAAAAGATTTCCTTGCTTTCTGCATCTCTTTTTACCCCTCCTAATAAAAGTGTGCTATTCTGTTACCTGCCTGTGAGAATGTTCTCATTGGAGCACTGCCTTTCCTCATTAAAAAAAAAAATCAAACAGGTATTTAAGATCAAAAATAGCCGTTTTTAAATTATCAGCTTTTTTGTTTTTTCTGTACAATGGCCTGTAAACAAGCAAGGTGACATAATTTTCTAGGATCTCACCTCTGGCCTCTTAAATGATGCTTCTCACAGGTGGTACCCAGTTTGCACACTGTTCCCTTGATGAAAACTAGGTTAATGATAAAACCTTGTCTGTCTGGATCCAAGCCTAGGAAGCATAATGAGCTTCACCTACCCAACAGCAAACAACATTCAAAGTCTAATGAAACTGCTTACTGATTAAATTCACCTTGTATGACCATACATTAAGAACTTGGTTAAAAAGGAATAAGATTTCCCTAACAGAAAGAATTAAACCATGATTTAATTACATCCCGATAGTGCTAGTAAGAATGGAGATCATTTAAGCCAGGGGCTCTGATTAATTTCCTCCTCTCTTCTCAAACATATGCATATTTGTAAGGGCACAGCCAAGCTAAGCTGACTTGCTGCTTAGCAGACACGGATGTTAAGGCAAATTGGGCCAACATCCAGGAAACACAAAATGGATGAGAATGAAAACTGCTTTTAACCTCTTGGGGGCAAAACAGAAAGACCGGTGGGTAAAAGCAGATATTCCCATTGAAAACCTCCTTATGATAGCACAGAGCTTCATAATCTTTAACCTGTTTGGGAAGCAAAGCCATACCATTACTCACTGGGTGTGTGGCAAAAATAGGAAGCAATGAGGCAGACGCAGATGAAGCTATGGAAGCCTTTTTCTAACCCACTGCACTGCATAATTAGAGAAGCCTGAGGAAATTAGGTTTTGAATAATGGCTTCCAGAGGAGTCTCAGAGATTTTTGTTTGTTTCTAGATAAGATGTGATTAATATTTTGATAGTACAAGTGGCGATCAGCCAAAATTTCAACAGAACGGTTACCTAAGACACTGGGCTGAGAGGGTTTCTAACACATAGTAAGGAAATGAGTATACAGAAGTGAGATTAAATAAATCAAAGGCATTCTGATTCCGTTATTCATATTGGCACCTGTATTTCCTCTAGAGGTGATCATCAACAGGACAGGCTTAGTGAGTTCTAGATGTATGGCAAACAGGGTTTAGAATGAGAAAGTCCTCTACCTCCAAAAACATCAGTATCTGTATCAATCATTTAGCAACTACTACATGTCAAAAGGTATACTGTTACTGACATTTTAAAGCAGAGTACTTTAAATATTTTTTTTTAATGGGAGAATCTATTTTTTTTTTTTTTGAGATGGAGTCTTGCTCTGTCGCCCAGGCTGGAGTGTAGTGGTGCAATCTCGGCTCACTGCAAGCTCCGCCTCCTGGGTTCAAGCAATTCTCCTGCCTCAGCCTCCCGAGTAGCTGGCACTACAGGTGCCCACCACCACACCCAACTAATTTTTTGTACTTTTAGTAGAGACGGGGTTTCACTGTGTTAGCCAGGATGGTCTCGATCTCCCGACCTCATGGGGAGAATCTATTTTCAAGAGAAGTCACCCAGCTGGCCTCATCCTCCCCTTTACCATAAACAATATCCCTCCTGGAACCTCCAGGAACTAGAACTACTCAGAACCCAGACTGAAAATCACTGGTGTCACGCAGATGCCTACACTTACTTCTCCACCGACACCTAAACAGAAACCTACACCTACACATATTCTGTTTTCCAGAACCACCTCTAAGCTCAGACACGTTCTGTGTTTTGCACCAGCCATGTCTTCCTCCAGCCCCACAACACAATAGCTGAGTATAGGTCATATCTTCCTCCTCAATGTCTTCATGAAAGATCTTCTATATCTGCAGGATAATAACCTCTTCTGTTTCCAAATTTCTTTCTTGTATCCTCATGAGGCACTTTAACAAATATTTATTGCAAAGATTTAAAACAAAACAAAGACTTGTGATGAGAGTGAAATGAAATACATACTTTTTTTAAGCTACAAAGCTGTTTCCGCTTAGTCGTATTTTATAATTAGCCAGTCTTCTGTTAGCACCTGCCGTTACCCAGACCACCTGGCAGAGACGGAGGAGGGTCACAGCTCTCAGTGTTATCATCGTTCAAGTCCTCATTCCGAACCCGCCTCCTCTCCCTTCCACCTTCTACAGTGGATATGCAGACTCCCTCCCGATGCCTTCAAACATGTGGAGCTTCCTGCTGCCTAAGAGCCTGGCACTTGCTGCTTCTCTGCTTTGAATGCTCTCCCCCTAGAAGTTTCCAGGGCAGGCTCCTTTTCATCATTATGACTCAAACCAAATGGCACATCCATAGAAAAGGAGAACTGGATTAACCCACCTTTTCCTCCTTTTTACTCCCAAATTCCATGTTGCTCTCTTCCTATTACCATGTGTTTTTCTTTTTTTTCTTTACAACAAAATGCTGCCTGCAAATACCTTGTTTGCTTATTCTATTGCCAGAATCCCTCCATCTTCCAAAATAAACTTCAAGGGAGAAAGACATTTATCTACTTTGTTCACCATTGAATCCCCAGCACCTATAATAACAACTTTCCACAAAAAGCACTCAATGAATGAATAAAGGATGAAAAAGAGATGCCCAAACTGAGTTAAATCAATATAAAACAGCTGATTTTAAAGGAAACTTTTACACGAAAAAATCATAAAAGATAGGAGATCCACATGCTTAGAATTTTCTGTAAACAGGTTATCATGCCTATAATACATGAATTATCCATACAACAGAAACCTATTTAGATACAAATAGTATAATTATTTCTAGAGCGCCAAGCAAGTCTGCTTACTTTATCATTTTTTGTTTAAAGTATTTCATGTATGTTATGTATTTAGAAATGTGAATGTAAAATTTCAGCCGTATTTATTTTAAAAGCCCAGCAAGAAATTAAAAGTGTATTTTACCCAGCAAAAAGGCAATCATGGCAGGGCACGGTGGCTCACATCCCAGCACTTTGGGAGGTCGAGGTGATGGATCACGAGGTCAGGAGTTCGAGACCAGCCTGGCCAATATGGTGAAACCCTGTGTCTACTAAAAATACAAAAAATTAGCCAGGCATGGTGGCGTGTACCTGTAATCCCAGCTACTCGGGAGGCTGAGGCAGGAGAATTGCTTGAACCTGGGAGGTGGAGGTTGCAGTGAGCCGAGATTGTGCCACTGCACTCCAGCCTGGCGACAAAGCAAGACTCCATCTCAAAAAAAAAGAAGAAGAAGAAAAAAAAAAGGCAATCACACAGAGTAACCCATCCATATCATGAGCAAGACAAATTCAGAATGATCTCTTGATATTTGGGGGAAAGTAAATTAGAGTCTGATTAGATGACATTTAGAAAATGATGAATACATGTTGACACTAACTAAAATTTAATAACAATTTAGTATTTTATATAATTACAAACATCTCATTGTATCCCTATTTTTAAAAAGTGAAATAACCATGACATACCCAAGGTATTTAAATTTCCTATTCTGATTATGGAAGATCTAAAGATGAAAGCAATTGTCATTAATAAATATCCCAAATGAAACATGTAATCAACTCTGTTCTTTTTGGTTGACTACGAAGAATAAAACAAAAACAGAGCACCAATAACCATATTGTTTCAAATGGCCTGGATCCCATGGGGAGGAAAGACTCGGATAGACTTAAATATTCCTAGTATATTTAAGTCAATGCCTAAAATATCAAAAGGCAAAACTACATTTGACCATCAAATTAAGTCTACAGACAATGTAGAGCATTCGACATCTGAAAGCGGCGTATAACTGACAGCCATCAGCTCTGTTCTTTATGCCGGCACACACATTTAGCAAGAACAGAGAAAAGTGAAATCTAAACATTCTAAATTCCTTCCCCCTCCCCAAAAGAAAACTTTTGTCACCAAAATTATAATTCAAGCATTATTGGATAGACATTTTTTCACCCCCATCCTCAGGAAACACGGATATTCCTCTCGGCGAAAGGCAGGAAAAGAGAGAGTATAGAACAACAGAAGGCTTGGAAATCTATCAACCTGGTAATCAGTCCTCTTAAGAAATAGAAGACTCCACCTTCAATGAGCAGAGTTATGAGAAGATAGAAACCATCAATCAAAGTTTATAGCCATCAAATAAATGACCCAAAGCAAAAGTATGGCATCAAAAATTCTAATATGAAGTTTCTAAACCAGTGTCTCTCTCCATCTCTCCCCCAACCCAGCACCCCCTGCATGAAGAAGTTCAAACTTGCTTTTCTTTAAGCTTCATTCCTAACAACATTTAACGATTAATGCCCAGGAATCTAAGAAGGACACTGACATGGAATGAAGCCAACATTTGTCCTCCACTCTACAGCTGGCCAGGGCTACTAATCCCAATTACAGATGAATTGTGTGCCACTACAGGCCTTTTCCAAGACACACTGTGATAGCCCAAGCTCCAGGATTACTGTTCTCCTGAGATCAGTATCTCAATGAATCCGTTTCTCTTTGGCTTGGTAAGTATCCAGGAAAAGAAGGAATTGTTGTTGTTTGGGGTTTGCTTTAAGAAACAGAAATTCAGCTTATTTCCTGACTAGGCTCCTAACATGCAAATTTTTAAAGAACTTTCTTGTCTAAACTGACTTCACATAACTCTACTTATGGACTGGCATAGTGGCATGTGCCTATTGTCCCAGCTACTCTGAAAGCCGGGACAAGAGGATCACTTGAGCCTGGGAGTTCAAGGCTGCTATAAGCATATCTGTAAACAGCCACTGCAGTCCAGCCTGGGTGACACAGCAAGACCTCATCTCTAAATTTAAAAAAAAAAAAAAAAAAAAAAAAAGGAGGTGGATCAATCAGACATCAGTTCAGTTTCATATAATATCACATTACTCAATTTCACATACTACATATTTTGAAATATCAACTTCCAAAAAAATTTTTTAAAGAACTATATTTATTCCCTAATTTAGAGAAAACTACTATTTGACAGCTGCTTTGCTTACCTCTCTGTTCTATAGGCAAGAATGATCATGCTATTATATTCACCGAGTCTAAAAGTTATTGCAAACGAAAGGATAGCCTCACCATCATTCCCAGAGATACTACTCAGCAAAACAGCCCTTACTGAGGTGAGCTGTTGAATAGTTCTTGGCCCTCTAAGAAGAGTGGGACCGTTACTCTATTTGATGTGATAACTATCGCTCTATCTAGCCAGTATGTGAAATTTTTATCAAAAGGCAGAAAATTCTGAGTGTTTCATATCATTCTGGTGCCTACTCCTTTGATTGTAATCACTGTGCTTTTTTTCCCCTCTTCCCCAGAATGAGAATCAACCCCTGGAAATCTCCAAAAGGACAGACTCCTAAAGCTGCCAACAGGGATTCACCAAGAACATCACTGCAGATCTCTGCAGTCGGTTTCATCAAATATTCAACAAAGCACGGCTTTCAAAATCAAATAAAAAAGCTTTGGTTACAGCTTTTATGGGTGAGCTTAGAATGCTAAGTGTTAATAGCCCATCTGCAGTGAAGAGGTTGCTTTTGTTTGTTTATTTGTTGCTTCATTATTTGTCAGCATATTTTCATTCAAACCCAAACAAAAGCATTTAACTTCATCTCGTGTAATCTAATGCCAAGTATAATCTCTGGTGACTACTGATTTTCTTGTTAAGTCTTTCTGTACAGAGATTGAACCTGAAACCCTAGAACCTAGTGAATTCACTCTGATGTTTTTATTTTCTCATCTCTGAACCAATATGTAAGGCAACGAATGATCTAAGCTCGATGAGACCTTCTGCACTGCAGTACAATTTGTCACTAGAATTGCAAATGCTTTATTGTACCCAATTGCCAACATGGAATTCAGGCATTCCAGAGAACTGTTTTGTTTTCTTAAATACTCATTACATGACTCAATGACGTAACAAATCCAAAGAAAAACATACATGCTAGATTTTGCCTGCTTTTCAATGACTAACTTTGTTATGTTCATGCATTTTAAAATATATGGCCAATTTCACTTACTATAGAGTTTCACTCTAAAAAAAAATGCAAATAATTTAAAAATCTAGGCTCCAGCCCTGAGAGACTTCAGCTTAAATTTTATTGTAAAGAATAGCAAATCTCAAATTTCAAAAGATCCATCCATGTGTACAAATGTTTCACATGCATCAGAAAACAGAATGCTTAATTGGCTCATTTTCTGCTCCCAACACACTCATGCAGAAAGTATCTGTTTTATTGCTGGTGCTGTCTAATATTATTTTTGAAAGATTGCTGACAAATAATATCAGAGAAGCAGATGGAAGTTGGCAAGGTACCCAGGTGTTCTAAGTCAGATGACTGGCATTGGCCCTTGAGAAGCTAAATTCCCAGCTCATTTCAGCCTAATGGAACCAGCCCCCAGAAACACACACGTAGATAAACACCCAGTGGTGGCCTGACAGAGGAATCTCACCATGCTGATAGTGGGTCATTAAGATCATCTTCAAACAGTTTTTCACTTTAAAGTTTTTGTGGGTTTTTTTGTTTATTGGATTTTTAAAAAATTTTTGGAGACAGGATTTTGCTCTGTCACTCAGGCTGGAGTGCAGCAGCAGCATCATAGCTCACTGCAGCTTTGAACTCCTGGCCTCAAGCAGTCCTCACACCCTTGCCTGACAACAGGCTACAGGCATGAGCCACCAGGCCTGGCTAATTTTTTTTTACTTTCTGAGAGATGAGGTCTCACTATATTGCCAAGCTGGTCTCAAACTCCTGGGCTCAAGTGATCCTCCCGCCTCAGCCTCTCAAGTAGCTGGGACTACAGGCACTTCTCACCATGCCTGGCTAATGTTTTTAGTTTCTTTGTAGAGATGAAGTTATCACTATGATACCCAAGCTGGTCTGGAACCCTTGGTCTCAACCCGTCCTTCTACTTTGGCCTCCCAAAGTGCTGGGATAACAGGTGTGAGCCACCATGCCCAGCCTCACTTAATTACAAATAAAAGGACATTATTTAAACTATATTAAACAATATTATATAATTTGAGGATAAGCAGATCATAATTTCCACCCCCTAAGGAAAGCTAGGGCCCAATTTTTGACAGTCTCAAAAATTTGTAATTCACAAATCTGTCTTTACAGTGCTTTCAATGAAGCAAGCCAAAAGATAAGTGATTTTGATCCATTTTAAGAACGTTTGCCTCTATTAGTTCAGCAGGAGTCTGCCCATGAACTTGTTAATTAACACTTAAGACTTTTCCCCTGAAAATAAGTTTCATTTCTACAGCGTTACTGATTTTCAGTCATCTCCAGGACATCCACCACTTTACCTCACTCTTGTTCCTGCCCTATCTGTAATCTTATTCCAGGAATATAAATAAAATGAATAAATGCAAGCCTGGGCAACATAGTGAGACCCCATCTCTACAAAAAAAAAAATTAATTAGCCAGGTATGGTGCATGCGCCTATAGTCCCAGCTACTTAGGAGGCTGAAGCAGGAGGAGTTCAAGGCTGCCCTGAGTTATAAGCATACCACTGCACTCCTGCCTGGGTAACAGAGTGAGACCGTGTCTCTTAAAAAAAAAAAAAAAGAATAAACAGCACAAAATCTGAAATCATTTACATAGCAAATAATTCTCTGAAATATATTCCTACACAGGGTAGGATTATTTCATGATTTTAAATATATCAGAATAGGTATACGGAGTATGGACAGGAGCTAGACAAAGCCCCAGTAAACGTGGAGAAAAACAAAACTGAAAATAAAGATATGCAAAATCAACTTTGAGGTCTGGCCTGAACTGGATTGTATTTATAAACATAACTAAAGAAACCCTATGTCTATCAAAAAGGTAAGAGGTTGCCGTGACCTTTCATTTGAAGCTCACCAAGTGCCCTCTGGCTAAAGTGTGTGAGAAGCCTCACTGGCCAGCCCACCTAACCCAGCCATCAGCCAGTCCCTGCCACGGTGGCCTACTGCCAGCCCCTACTGCCTGGCCCTCATCATTAACTGGGAGCTTTACCTCTTCTTTTATTTATTTGTCGCCTGTCTCTGCTTAAACCCCACCACCCTCTCAGCCCAACCTTGAATATTTGTCTTGTTTACACTGTACCCCAAGAGCCCAAACCTACTGTGCACCCAACAATGACATGGCTCACCACGTCTACAGCTGGGCACCTGTGAAAGCCCAGCCTGGCCGACAGTAGCATTTCTGAGCATCAGTTAACAAATCAGCATTCTGATGTTATCCCTCAGGTTCATATGAGCTTTCTGAATTTGTTTTTGCTTTTTTGAAACAGAGTCTCACTCTGTGGCCCAGGCGCAATCTCGGCTCACTGCAACCTCTGCCTCCTGGTTTCAAGCGATTCTCTCGCCTCAGCCACCTGACTGACTGGGACTACAGGCACAGGCCACCACGCCCATCTAATTTTTTGTATTTTTAGTAGAGACGAGGTTTCACCACATTGGCCAGGCTGGTCTTGAACTCCTGACCTCAGGTGATCCACCTGCCTCAGCCTCCCAAAGTGCTGGGATTACAGGTGTAAGCCACTGCATCCCAGCCTTCAGTTACATATGAGCTTTCTGAATTTGAAGCCGTAGTCTCATTAACTCCCAGCCACTAATGACATTAGGTTTCTGATCCTGAAGTCTGGCAGAGCCTCCGTCAGCAGCCTGGGTGAGCAGTCAGGCACCCGGAGACCGCCTTGGCGGTCCCTTAGCTCACCTCCTTCATGTGTATCTGTGTGCACATGAGCAGGCTCAAAAGGTTTGACATCTGAAGTCTAGACCTCTCAATTGTTGATCAAATCTTTCTGGTAAAACTAACACACTCCAGAAGCTGAGGAGCTAACACAAACATGGGGTGTATTTCCACTCCCTCTTCCGTCTCTGTTTTTCAGAAGACCAATTTTCCCACCACCCATTAACTACATGAACTTAAGAGAACTGGGTATGCTCAAGTAAATAACACTTTATAAGAAGAGGTCAAAGGAATAGTCCTCAAGGAATTACTCACCTTAACCTAATGAGATGTACGCCCAGATGTGTGCATCCAAATAAACAAAAATAAAACCAGGAGATCTGCAGATAAACCAATCAGTGTTTACATCAGTAATGCCAAGGGCAAACCCAGAGGCCTGGAGGGTACTCAAGCATACCTCCTGCATACTGGAAAGACCAGCAGTTGTGGAGGGGTGGGGGTGGGGGGGGTAGGGGGTTGGGGGTGGGCGGTACTTTTTGCTAGCTACAACCTCTTTTCTGTAACTGGTGAGGAAATGCTATTGATGGGAATGTGGTATGGCATGTTCCTTAGGTGGACAGTAAAAGGGAGAACTGCTGGTTAACACTGCATGTAGGAATGGGGTTGCAGGTATCTTAGAGATCACGGTGGATTCCCAAAATCAGCAACCAGTAGAGAGGTTTGACCGGAGTGGTTGTATATTTCAAGTCAAAAATTAAAAGATAAAATAGGAACATATCTAAGGCCAGTGTGTGCTATTGTTCAACCTCTCCGTCTCTAGTCCATAAAGAGTACATAATAACTATAATATCAAATAGCACTGGATAAGCAGATGGAGTTTCTGATGGACTCCTGTTTCTACTGAAGTAGCAGTTGTAGAGATGAAGCCTCTTTCCCTTGGAGAGTCTCAGATTGCTTAGTAGCCACCCTTTTGTAACAGCCCCATTAGACTCCTGCAGAACGTTCTAACTCTATGAACAGCAGGCATTTAGACGATGAGCCTTGCAGTTTATCTTTCCAGCCCACAAAACCCTATCCTATGGAAATTGTTTCTCTACTTAACAGGCTAAGTACACTTCCACTTTACAATACCCCTCCTTCCCTGCCTGTGCCTGCAGTTTCTCAAAATAACCAGCTCAAAATCATCAATATGCCAAAAACATGTATTTTGAGGTATATTCTGATCTCCTATAATCATATTTTGGGGTGCTGTATCCTGGGCACCAACAACCCAAAGCATGTTTAAATAGAATGAACATTAGCTGAAAGTTTCCAACTTTATGTTGTTAATACAATATTTGGATTGCAAAACCAATTTTTTGTTGTTGTTGAGTAATATTGATAGGAAATGAAATTAAAAGTTGTGGAAAATGTTAAATAGGGCCACACCCAGCCCTATTTAACCATTTTTCAGCTCCTTGAGATTAGAGACTAAGGTTATTCATGAGGAAGAGGCTTTCTGACAAGCAGATGGCCAATAAAGATTTGTTGATGACTTATGTAATTATGTGATGGCGTGTTCATTCCACATTCACATACTGTATAAAGGTACAAATGCCTGATCATACATAATCCACATAAACAGTAAGGTGGCCAATCTGTTGCAAACTTCTCCTCCCCAGAGGAAGCTACCTATGGCTTCAGAACACTAATTCCAGCACAGCACCTTTTATGATGCAGAGGATTAACAGAATATCCCAAACTCCACTACTCACTCTGATGATGCCCTGGTTGTCACATTTGCCACAGGAAGCAGAAGAATATTATTTTGTTTTAATTCATTTAAGTGTAAATATCCACACAGAGCTAGAGGCTGCCACACTAGGCAATGCAAACCAAACCAAAAAAAAAATTTCTAACACATAACAGGTGCTCAACAAATGTTCACTACACAAATGAACAAAGATTTGACGTATTTGCTATAGAAAACAGGTGGGTTTTGGAACCAATAGACTTTTATTTGAAACCTGGTTAGCTGTTTTACTGGCTTCAATATTTTGCTTTATTGTTTTGTTCATTTCTACCCAGATGTGACCTTCTTTAGGTTAGTTGTCAGGTCTTTTTTCATCACTGTATCATCAGCACATAGTATCTTTATTTACATTAGGAAAAGAGTTTAATTAATAAGAATATTTGCATGTATCCATAAATGAGTAAAGGGGTGAATGTATGAAAAGCACTGTCTGCCAAAATAACTGCTGTCTTCTAGTATGCATGGAAAGAGACCCACTTGTAATTTCACAATTTGAAATACTCATGTGAATATTTACATGAAAAAGATGTCTAATAAATTATATATCCCTTATGTAAATGCAGTGGAAACAGCATTCTTAGAGACAATTTTTTATTAAAACTCCTGAGTTAACAAACTAAAAAAACCCTCCTAGTTGATATAACTATAAAGTATTTCCATTAGTAATATTTAAATTCATTATCAACTCTCTGTGCACAATGTTTTCTTTTTTTTTCCCCCAAAATTTTCTTGACAGGGAAGACAGGGGTGTTTTATACAGTGTGGAAGGTACAAAAATCTAGAAAGTTATTTAAATCTTTGGAATTATCATTAGAAAAGAGTGCTTCAAATCCATCCTGTTTGTTGTAAGAAGTAAAAGGTCATAATCAAATACACATTATAATTACAACATCATCTGGTCTAATGTTATTTTCAAAATACTTAAATGGTTCTTTTTACCCATAATATTTGCATGCAGAGTCTACAAATAATTCCTAATCTATAAATATCAGCATCTCCTAATTAACATGCCATCCAAAGAATTATTTAGATTTATCTTAAGCAAGTTTAAAATATATGATTTCTTAAATTCCTGTAAAGAAAACAACTGCCGTGGGCCGTACCTCTAATTAAACACAGTCTCATCATAGGTTTAAAATCCAGGAATGTGAATAAGCCTTTGTGGAAACTGTTTATCTTTCTGCATGTATAAATCATTAGTAATAAAATATAAATTATAATGATTTAGAGTGAAGTTACAAAGAACAATTCTTTCTTTTATCAATTTTCAGAATCAACTCTTAGTTTCTTAGTTCTTTTGGGTTTTTTTTAAAAACTATCTATTAGAAGGAAAGAAATTCCAAGTTTAAACCAATCACCTTGAGTCTGTAAAATCTCACCTTCCCAGAAAAGAACTATAAAGATCAATGAAAGGCTGTCAGAAGACATTAGTAAAATGGACAACTCAATTAGCAGGATGAATATACACTCAGACACCCAGGGATACACTGCCCATCATCCCTTCCATTAAAAAACAAAACAACCACCACCACCAAAAAAAACCCAGACATTAGTTCTAAATCTAAAACAAGGACTTAAAAACCTGACAAAAAAATAAAAATGAAATGTCATTGTCTTTCAGGATGGCAAAATCTAGATAATAGAAAAGAGCATCACTTGATACTATTGATCAGTAGGCTTTAAGAATTTAGAAGCAATACTAAAGAAATAAGGAAGAAAATGTAATTGAAGACCATAATAAAATTGTTGAATCATATTGGCACCACTGAAAAACATTTCCTCTAAACACTGACAATCCATTGTTTCCAAATGAGATCATTCATGTGTATCCTGCAGATCCTAACGAAATACAAATAATACATATAAACTTGTTTTGTAAATTGAACTGCTTTATACCAGTATAAGATACCCTTCTTCAATATTAAGAAAGTTAATCCAAAGATTCTGCTGTTGATAACAGTCTGTGTCTGTCAAGTATTAATTGTTAGAGACTTCAGGAATCACATAGGATTATTCTAGGAGCATTTCCTATTTCCTATTGATCATTTCATTAGTAAAGCATGGTCCCTAATCTCAGATATTCAAATTGGAGGGAAAAACAAGATTAATACTCAAAGAGCAAGCAATTAATACATACTATAAGGTGGCACAAAATTAAGTTTTCAAGTGCACGTTAATAATTTCAAGGGAGTGTTTCCACTAAATGAAGCTGATTTTGTGGAGATGGTGATTAATATAGGCCTTAAAAGATGGTTCAGATTTGTATGTTTTATTTCCCTATAAGTTGAAACTTTCCCAAAGCATTGCTCCATCATAATCTCTTTGTAGCCCTCTGATTCACAACCCACTGCTAAGTACATATTTATTTTCTATTATTAGTAGTAGTACTACTAGTAGTAGTTGTGGTACAGGCAGGGTCACACTTTGTTGTCCAGGTTGGTCTTGAATTCCTGAGCTCAAGCAATCCTCCTGCCTCGGCCTCCCAAAATGCTGGGATTACAGGCATGAGCCCGTAATCTGTGCCCGGCCTGAGTTCACATTTAAGTAAGTATGTGAGGAATTGAATGAAAAATACCATAAAACAGATGTGTATTTCTCATCTATGTAATGATACGGAGCCTTTTTCTACACACATGTAACACATCTCTCCTGTCTATTTGATCACCTCTTCTTCCTTAGATAAACGCCCCATAGACTATACTTCATCCTGTACCAAAATAACTATTAATTAGTTCCAATTTCTATATTTGCTTTTACTCATTATTATTATTATTATTTTTTGAGATGGAGTTTCACTCTTGTTGCCCAGGCTGGAGTGCAACGGCATGATCTCGGCTCACTGGAACCTCTGCCTCCTGGGTTCAAGAGATTCTCCTGCCTCAGCCTCCCGAGTAGCTGGGATTACAGGCATGCACCACCACGCGCAGCTAATTTTGTATTTTTAGTAGAGACAGGTTTCTTCATGTTGGTCAGGCTAGTCTCCAACTCCTGACCTCAGGTGATCCGCCCGCCTCGGCCTCCCAAAGTGCTGGGATTATGTAATAGGCGTGAGCCACTGCGCCTGGCCTTACTCATAACTTTCTAACACCAGTGGATGACTTACACTACCGTGTGTTGATTTATGGGCATGCTGCCCTCTGCCAGATCACATCACATCAGAACTGGAGGAAAGAACTTGCTTTCTATTAGCAGCTACCATGCAGCATTTTGCATAAACACATTAGAGACTATGGGCCTCAGTCTTAGGCCCATGGAACTAGATCCACTCTTTCTCCATTCATTCATTCATTCGGCAATCATTCCTTCCCTACCTACTCTGTTTTGAGCACAACCCTCAGCACTGAGGAGACGAAACCTGGACGTGATTCTTGCCCTAAAGGAGCTCACAGACTATTAGTTTAACCGTTCATCAAATAGAATATTTTAGACAAAAAGGCACAATGTCTCAAAATGCTACAGCTGAAGATGGGAAGGGTGGGATCCAATCATTTTTAAGAATAGCAGAAGAAAACAGGAGAGAAAAAGGAAAATAAGGGAAAATTGTCTGATTTGTGATCCTTATAGATAAATGTCTAATGAGGAAAACATCACCAATTTCCTCCTTCAAAGCCCGGGAGAAGGCATATATGAAAAGGATAAAATATGAAAGTGAACACGATATTTTTTAAGAGCATCTGAACTCTAATCTCTTTCTTCCAGACGCTTATCTTGTTCTCTCTCTTCAATGTCCTTTCCCTTTATTTCTGTAAGTCTTAATTCTTCCAATCCTTTAGCTCATAAGACCACAAACCTTCCCTGATCCCCACAGCTGAAAGTCTTCTCACTCTAAACACCCAACTCACTCCATCTATAACTATTTTATGGTAATTAACTTTCTATGGGAAGAGAAAGAAACTAGCACTTATTTGGTACTTTCTATGCCATGTACTTAAAACACATTAACTCTTGTAATCCTTGCAAAAACTCCAGGAAGGTACTTTTATTTCCATTTTTTAAGCAATTTGTAAACTTTAATTCTGAGGGTTTTTACAATTTTATTATTTTATGGATACATAATAGTTGTACATACTTGTGGAGGCACATGTGCTATCTTGATAATAGCATACAATGTATAATGATGAAATCAGGGTAGTTGGGATGTACATTATCTCAAACATTTATCATGTCTTTGCATTGGGCACATTCCAAATCTTCTCTTCTGGCTATTATGAAATATATAATAAATTATTGTTAGTTATAGTCACCCTATTGTGCTATTGAATACCAGAATTTATTCCTTCTATGAAACTGTATTTTTGTACCCATTAACCAGCTCCTCCCACCGTCCCTTCCCACTACGCTTCCATTCTCTAGCAACCACCATTCTATTCACTATCTCCGTGAGATCAATTTCTAAGTTCCCACACATGCATGAGAATATGTGTTATTTGTCTTTCTCTGCCTGGCTTCTTTCACTTAACATAATGACCTCCAGTTTCACCCATGTTTCTGCAAATGAAAGCATTTCATTCTTTTTTACAGCTGACGAATATTTCATTGTGTGTATATATCACATTTTCTTTATCCATTTATCCATTGATGGACACTTAGACTGATTCCATATCTTGGCTATGGTGGATAATGCTGCAATGAATGTGAGAGTGCAGATATCTTAGATATACTGATTGCTGTTGTTTTGGATATTTACTTAGCGGGATTGCTGGATCATATAGCAGTTCTTTCTCTTTTTCTTTTCTTTCTTTCTTTCTTTCTTTTTTTTTTTTTTTTTTTTTTTTTTGAGATGGAGTCTCACTCTGTCACCCAGGCTGGAGTGCAGTGGTGTGATCTTGGCTCACTGCAACCTCCGCCTCCTGGGTTCAAGTGATTCTCCTGCCTCAGCCTCCCAAGTAGCTGGGACTACAGGTACACACCACCACACCCAACTAATTTTTGTATTTTCAGTAGAGATGGGGTTTCACCATGCTGGCCAGGCTGGTCTCAAACTCCTGACCTCAGGTGATCCACCCGCCTCGGCCTCCCAAAGTGCTGGGATTACAGGCGTGAGCCACTGTGCCCGGCCCGTATGGTGGTTCTATTTTTGGTTTTTTGAGGCATCTCCATGCTGTTCTCCACAGTGGCTGTACTACTTTACACTGCCACCAACAGTGCGCAAGCATTCCCCTTTCTCTGCCTCCTTGCCAGCATCTATTATTTTGTCTTTTTGATAAGCGCCATTTTAACTGGGGTGTATTTCCATTTAATACAGGATGAAATCAAAGGTCAGAGTTCAAGTGGCTCACTGAAGGTTACACAGCTAAATGTGATCATGGGAGGATTGAACCCTTGATCTCTGTGACTCTGTGTTCCTTTCACAATGCCCCACCACATTCTACATATTACTATATTCACTTAAGCATTTCATTCAATACATATTTACTGAAGGCTTATCCTGATCTCTGGTCTAGAACTACAAATATGGTCCCATCCCTACCACTTAGTATAGGAGAGCATGATTAAGCAGGCAATTACAATTTGTATCCCTAAGAATATTAACTAGCTGGACATTAACAGGTAGTTGTGCATTTTCTTAAAGTCTATTAATAGCTTTGGGAACATTGAATCAAGCAAAATTAAGCGGGTTCCTTTAAGACATCTCAGATTCTTTACTAATATGCATTGTAAAACCTCCAGGAGGTAAGTGTAACATGTTTGAGTCTGAGACTTTCTTTTGAGAAACATCTTTCAAAAGATGTTTTTGTGTTGTGGTAAAATGTACATAACAAAAAAAATTAACCTTTAAAATGTACAATTTGGTGGCATTTAGTACCTTCACAATGTAGTGCAGCTATCTTACTATCCATTCTAGAACTTTCTGAGAATAGATTTTGTGGAGAATAGCACCTGGGTGGGGTCCCACGGAACACATTTTGAGAAACACTTGACATGATGGCCAGGAATACAGCAGAGGAAGAGGTCAGAGAACACAGAGCCCAAGCCACGATTGAAGGACCAGGGCAGGTCTCTCCAACAGAAAGAAGCCTAAATGTCTAACCAGAGTTAGAGAGGGAACACATGTGTGAGGTTCAGCAGAGGGAACAGCAGGGTAAATGCCCAGGATTAAGAGGGACAGCACATGATTAGGGCTATAAAAAATACTTACAGGCTCTCAGAAAGGGTGCCACCATATGTAAGGAAACAGCTGGTTAAATGGTGACGAGGTTGAACAATGAGATCACTTTATGCCTGTGTTGCCTTCCTCAATGCCATGGTGATGGTAAATTTTTATGCCTTCTAAGAGATTCTGAATTCAACTTCTCTTTTTAGGGGCAAGAATCAGTAACAATCCTAGCCATTCCCATTCATCCCAATGAGATATATAACTGCATATTTAATGATCAAAGGATCATTAAATAGCTGGTCCTACATAAACTACTAAATCATTTAGAAACAAACTGTAAGAACATTTAAATGAACATCAACATTATTTCGTGAAAGTTTAATAACTTGTCTTCCAATACAAAACTGGAAGTATCTCCCTTTAGTTTCCAATCAAATCATCTATCCTTTCCGCTCAATAAAATTCCAAAATGGAATCTAATTTCCCCTTTCTTTCTTAAATACGCCACTATTCGGCTCATGCCTGTAATCCCAGCACTTTGGGAGGTGGAGGTGGGTGGATCACAAGGTCAGGAGATCAAGACCATCCTGGCTAACATTGTGAAACCCCATCTCTACTAAAAAATACAAAAAATTAGCCGAGCGTGGTGGTGGGCGCCTGTAGTCCCAGCTACTTGGGAGGCTGAGGTAGGAGAGTGGCGTGAACTCGGGAGGTGGAGATTGCAGTGCGCTGAGACCGCACCACTGCACTCCAGCCTGGACAACAGAGCGAGACTCTGTCAAAAAAAAAAAAAAAAGAAAAGAAAAAAATATATATATACCATTATTCAGTAACAGTTCTTGGTTTCATGTATTAATTTATTTCACTTCCCTCTTTTGCTGGGGAGCTTAATTTGAGCAAACAAGGAGACAACAGTCACCAAAGAAAGCCCCAACATCCCTAAGGATCCTTGAGGCTTGGAAAGCAACTGGCGCCCAGTGGCATCTGAAGCTTAGTACAAGAGTAGAAAGTATGAACAATGAGAAAGTGTTTATTTTCTTTTCTGTAATGGGGCATTCTTCACCTTTATTGCTGACAAGAATGGTGGCCTGCTACAGAGGAACTTAAACAACTGTTTTGAGGAACTTTAACAACTGTTTTAAAAATCCTACTTCATCCTTAAAGCTAACAAGAAGAAAATAGGAAAAACATACATACATATAATACACTTTAAACAACATATATTATATATAATGAAGTCTATAAAATGTCCCTCTAGGGATAGGACGGAGGTCCAAATCTGTACAGGCCATTATTGAATTCTTTAGTTTAAAAACTACATTTTTTTTTGAGATAGGGTCTTGCTATGTTGCCCAGACTGGTCTCAAACCCCTATGCTCAAGCAATCCTCCCTCCTCAGCCTCATGAGTAGCTGGGATTACAGGCACACCACTGCACCTGCCTGAAAATCTACATTGTTTTTAGAAAGCTAGGTAAGCAGGTTTGGAGTGTTTCACTGACCAACCAAAAACTGAAAATAAGCTGCAACCGACTTTCCTCAGCCAATAGTCCTTCAAGCCTTGCAAGGGATATCTTCATCACTGAATCACTGCAGGTTTCAACATATCTCAGGCTGCCTGCACCAAAGCACTCGGCTCACAGCTCTTCAGAACAGCAATGAATCACACGCTTATCATTGGATAAAGCCTCTTATTTGTGTCATCATAAAATAACAATGGAGTACCAAACCAGCCCCACTAGGAGTGTTTGGAAACGTAAATCTAAATTGAAGAGAAGCCCAGAATCTTATTTGCATAAAAACTACATAACTCATAATCCGCATCCATAACTCCTGAGCTGCTTCCCACCAGGGATTTCACTGGAAGTTAGCAATGTTATCTTGTGACTGCAATGCAGCCCAGAGCCCCTCTTGCAAGTTGCAGTTTTTATTCCTACTCATCTCCCTCTTAAATTGCACTTATCAATTTATGACAAAGCTGCTTCCCAAGGTCATCCACCCTTTAAATCTACTGTCCTTTAGAATGAAAATTTTTGAAAGTCATGAGTACCAACCCAGAAAATTTTAAAAGTAGATAAAATCTACCTTTTCAGAATAAAAAACAAAACAAAAACCCTGTTTGCCTAGTAGCAAAACAGTATTTTTACAGCAGAAAACCACTTCTTTATTTCCAATACAAACACAGCCTTGGGGTAACTTAAATGAAAAATATGTAACAATTCAGAGAAGCATCATCTAAATTTATGTTGCTCATTTTCTACCTGTGGCCTAAAATAACGGTTTTGCAGATTGTCTGCAAAATTATTGGGAAAATTAAAAAAAAAAGATTTATTGATTATAGTTTATAACCTTCAACAACTATCCCTGCAAAAAAAAAATGCTACACATACACATCCCCCAGACTATCTATAACTGTTCCATGCCAGCTCAACTCAACATTAAATTCATTATTCCAAATGTATTGCATCAGTGCACCACAGTTATTTTATAGAAATATTATCGCCAAGTTGAACTGCCAGAATAATGATGGGTAATAAAGGTCCATCGTTATTTAAAACACACACACACAGAACAGTTTAGGTTTCAGTTAAAGACTTTCTAGGGAAGACCCTGTCTTCTGTTTGATCCCCTACCAACTTGTTCCTTTTATCTGTCCTACATCCATTAATAAAGCCACAAGTTACTCAACTGCCAACACTAGAAACCTTTAATTCTTCCTAATTCATTCCTTCCCCTCCCCCCAAATCTCAAAATCTTCACCGCTTTGTCTCTTGTTCATTCTTGCTCCAAATTGTCCATCACATACATCTACTCTTTGTCCAGACCTTCACTATCTCTCACCCATGCAAGAGCATCCTAATTGGTTTCCCTGTCTAAATACACACACTCTGACTCATCTTTTTAAAACACAAATCTGATTCAGCAACCAGCACAGTGACTGTTACCAAAGCCCTTAGAAAATGGCTGCTGGTGTCTGTTCATATCCTTTGCCCACTTTTTGATGGGGTTTTCTTTTCTTATAAATTTATTCAAGTCCCTTGTAAATTCTGGATATTTACACCTTTGTCAGATGGGTAACTGCAAAAATTTTTTCCCATTCTGCGGGTTGCCTGTTTGCTCTGATGATAGTTTCTTTTGCTGTCCACAGGCTCTTTAGTTTAATGAGATCCCATTTGTCAATTTCAGCTTTTGTTGCAATTGCTTTTGGTGATTTCATCATAAAATCTTTGTCCACGCCTATGTCCTGAATGGCATTGCCTAGATTTTCTTCTGGGGTTTTTATGGTTTTGGGTTTTACATTTAAGTCTTTAATCCATCTTGAGTTAATTTTTGTTTCATGCAGCCAACAAACGTGAAAAAAAGCTCAACATCACTGATGATTAGAGAAATGCAAATCAAAACCACAATGAGATACTATCTCATGCCAATCAGAATGGCGATTATTAAAAAGTCAAGAAACAACAGATGCTGGCAAGGCTGTGAAGAAATAAGAGCACTTTTACACTGTTGGTGGGAATGTAAACTAGTTCAACCATTGTGGAAGATAGTGTGCCAATTCCTCAAGGATCTAGAACCAGAAATCCCATTTGACCCAGCCATCCCATTACTGGGTATATACCAAAGGAATATAAATCATTCTACTATAAAGATACATGCACACATATGTTTATTGCACCACTATTCACAATAGCGAAGACATGGAACCAACCCAAATGCCCATCAATGATAGACTGGATAAAGAAAATGTGGCACATATACACCATGGAATACTATGCAGCCATAAAAAGGAATGAAATCATGTCTTTTGCAGAGACATGGATGAAGCTGGAAACCATCATCCTCAGCAAACGAACACAGGAACAGAAAACCAAACACCGCATGTTCTCGCTCATAAGTGGGAGCTGAACAATGAGAACACATGGACGCAGGGAGGGGAACAACACACACTGGGGCCTGTCGGTGGGGGCTAGAGGAGAGAGAGCATCAGGGCAAATAGCTAATGCATGTGGGTCTTAATACCTAGGTGACGAGTTGATGGGTGCAGCAAACCACCCATGGCACATGTTTATCTACGTAACAAACCTGCACATTCTGCACATGTATCCTGGAACTTAAAGCAAAGTAAAATTTAAAAAGAAAAGAAAATAGCTGCAAGATCAATGTCCATGCCACACCCCACTGCTTAAAAACCTTTGACTCTGTCCTTGGCCCACCACCATTTCCTAAAGGGTGTTGATTGTAAAGGTCCTCCTCTGCTCCTTCAGCAGTCATCATGACGTCTGCATCATTACACACAACAACAAAAACAATGGCTAAGTTAGCACTGGCTAAATACCGTATACCTTTTCAAGTACTTATATCCTCACCCAGCAGATGAGAAAACTGAAGTCTTAAGGAAATACAGATAGATTCCAAGTAGCAAACTCCTAACTTAGATCTTTCTGACTGAGTTCTATAATCATATCACTATCCTGCTTACAGCTCAGTTTTTCTTTACAGCAAGAAACATCACTTAATTTGAATTATTGCTAAATAACATCAGCAACCATTCAAAGAACATGTTGAGGGGTGTCTTATGCATCGCTAAGAGTCATTTTCTCTAGTCAAAACACAAAAACTTTGGGTGGCTGCCTCTGTTAGGGTGATTATTCCACCCTGACATATCCATTACTGGAACAGGCACATACTCGGTTTCTGTTTCAAGTAAGTAATAATGCCCTTCGGGAGAAGCATAATTTTGTCTCTGGACAGTTCTAGCAAATGTAGAACTGCATCTGAATATGAATTTCTTAATATCAAGCTTAAAATGAAAGCTCAGGCACAGTATACTCCTAATGCAAAATTAAATAACCTCTAAAACTATTTTCCTAACAGCACCATGATTCCTAGATCTAAAATGAATCATAAATTTAAAATCTAGATGAAAATTAATCAGCCCAACCTACTTTTTCCAGTGACTCCTGTGTATTTGTTTAAACTCACTTTCAAAATCGAAACCCTGAGATCTAAAAGAAGAAAGGTTCTCCAAGTAAAACTAAAACCACCAACTTAAACACTTGGCCCTCATGTTAACAAATCAGCATACTCTTCTTCCAGAGCACTTGGAATTAAGTAGACCCCTGAAAATCAAAAGCAAAATTAAAGCTTTTGAAACCAAAATCTGGAGGAATTCTCTATTAATTCCTCCAGACATGAACTCCAGAAGGATTTCCAGAATCCTCCAGCTAAAACATTCAAGAGCTTCATCTCGGCATTGTCAAATTCTCCAAATCTATGATTAAAAACCTGGAAAAGGCACCATAGTTTCAATATTCCCATTAGCCTATGTTCTACCTCTAGTTTTTTCTTTCATAGAATACAGGAGATGTTTGTACAGACTATGCTATGTGTTCTTTGTGTTTTTGTTGTTGTTGTTGTCATTGTTTTCAGTTCTTTTCAACTGCCAATCCAAGAAAAGTGCCTGCCATATCTGTCTTCAGGGGCTTTCCACATGCCAGGTATTAGGTTAAGCACCGGGGATACAAAAACAGAAAAGATTCCATCCCAGCCCTATCTAGAAACTTGTTTTCCAAGAATCTTCCATCCTCTGAATTCATCCCATCAATGATATTGATAGATTGAGGGCCAAGCCAAATCCAACATGAAACCAGATGCTAGCTTTCCTTACATGCCTCTTAATTCCTACATCTCAAGAAGCAGCTGTTACAGAAGCAGAGCCCTAGAGCAGTGATCAAGACTGTGACCTCTGAAGTCAGACAGGTCTTGCTTGAGGCCCAACTCTGCTACATACACTTGCATGTCCTTGCGAAAGTTATTTAAGATTTCCAAACCCTAGGAAAGGAAAGGAACAAAGGAAAATAATGAGAGAACTTCATAAGGTTATTGCAAGTGACAATGCACAGAGAATACTTGGCACTGTGCCTGGCATATATAAGTTCTCAGTAAATGTTGCTTGCTTTTATAATACTAATACAACAGCAGTAGCAGTTACTGTATTAAGTTGAGCCTTCAAACTCATCTTATAACACAAAACCCCCCTAATGAGCTATCTCGGGTGGAAAATGGGCCAGCATATGTAACTAATCATGGCAACGGCTCATGTATTTGAAAATACTCACATCTATCTTCTTCACCTAAAAATTCCCAGAAAGGCAGCATTTCAAGATAGCATTGAAGTAGCTCGGACTTCATTTCACATGAAAACAAGGAAATAGGATAGCCAATGATAAGCTATAAAATATCTTAATGTTCCAATGAAATTAACGGAGAAGTCAAAATAAAAGTTAAACTAATCAAATACATTGTGGTAATGTATAACAGGTGTGTGGGAGGGAAACTTCATCACACTTCACAGAAGAAAAAAGCCTTCATTCCACTCTTAATGGAATTTGACAATTTTTCTGCTACTGTCTTGTATTCTTCCCCTCAGAGTTGGAATGCTACCTATGGTTAATCCTATTAAATGAGCCATTATTTTATTGTGTTTATGGCACTTGGCTTCAAGTATGTTTTGAGGCCTAACTGCTAAATCTCATCAACACACCCTTGTAAACTGACCAGCCATACCATGTACTTCTCAAAGCTTGTATTCTACCTCCTTTAAAATTTTCTTGCTTTGTTTTCGGGGGTTTTTTGTTTGTTTTTGGTTTTTTGTTTTTGTTTTTGTTTTTGTTTGTTTTTTGTAGAGACGGGGTCTCAGCATGTTGCTCAGGCTAGCCTCAAACTAAAACTGTCTTTTAACTTCCCAAAATTTCAAGGATATAGATAGGCATAGAAAATAAGCGACACCTTTCAAACAAATTATGCAGCTCTAAAAATATTTCCTCTATCATGGTTGGTATCAATTATTGCCTAAGTTTTCAAAGTATAATTATCTCCCAATACATTTGACTCTCTGAACACTCCAGAAATGCTTTGAACAATTTATCCTACTTGATTTGCTCACTCGAAGAGGAAAATTCATTCAGAGGAAGCTAGAGCTTGGGAACAGAAGTGAAAACAAAAATGTATGAACCTGAAGAATTCACAAAATTTGGGGTAGGGGGCTGGATTTCCCAAAATCTGAAAAATAGAGGTCAAAGGCAATCTTATCCAGATCTGAAAGGGCAGGGCAATTCCAACGACAATAAAATCACAAAGGTCTTAGTATTTAATGCCTACTGTGTACTAGACACTTGGTAACAATCCTACGAAGTCGGTATAATTATCATTATTTTTATGAGAGAAAAATGGAAGCTCAGATTGGCTTGTCCAAAACCCACACAGCCAGAAACAGGATTGAAATGCAAGTCTAGCTGGCTTCAAAACCCAAAATCTTTCTATTCTCCCATGCTGCCTTTTTCAATAAACTTGTGTTTACAATAACCATACCACATGCACATATATATATATGTGTGTGTATATATATATATATGTGTGTGTGTATATATATAT
Source organism: Homo sapiens (assembly GCF_000001405.40). Classification (NCBI taxonomy): domain Eukaryota; kingdom Metazoa; phylum Chordata; class Mammalia; order Primates; family Hominidae; genus Homo; species Homo sapiens. The sequence goes on along the minus strand of NC_000001.11, from coordinate 237,148,543 downwards.
ATATATATATATATATTTTTTTTTTTTTACTTGAAGTTCTGGGATACATGTGCAGAATGCACAGGTTTGTTACGTAGGTATACATGTGCCATGGTGGTTTGCTGTACCTATCAACCCGTCATCTAGGTTTGAAGCCCCACATGCATTAGGTATTTGTCCTAATGCTCTCCCCCACATCCCCCAGCCCTCCCGACAGGCCCCAGTGTGTGATGTTCCCCTCACTGTGTCCATGTGTTCTCATTGTTCAACTCCCACTTATGAGTGAGAACATGCGGTGTTTGGTTTTCTGTTCCTGCACGTGCACGTATTTCAGTGAAAACCAATCTCCTTTTAAAAAGAGAGGTTAAAAGCTGTTTTATTAACTATCTTGTTTATCCTACCATCTGACTTGATGAGACCCTGAACACTTCAGCCGAAGTCCATCTGCAGGCCCATGTCATCTCCACCATAATATATGTGTGACACGACATGCGGTGGAACTTGCTTCAGGAGAAAACTGTCATATTATGCAAAATTTCCAGATGATTCGACCACATGACTTCCTAACTATCATTAACTCTGGCCTGAATAAAACCAGATAGGGTGCCATGAAAAGGCCAAGGCCAAATCAAGGTAACTAGTGGAGGTCTGTTTAATAAAACACCATTGAAATTGGCCAACATCCCATCACTAACTGTTATCCCAACATAAGAAGCTTTTGCAGAAACTATACTCGCTTGGACTTTGCTAGATCCAGTTTAAACTTTGTGACTCTCTGATAGCCACAGTGTTGCGGGATCGCAAAGGATTCAGTTCAACAAACATTCAAGGCACAAGGATAATGTGCCAGGTATACCATGAGGAGAATGTACAAATGTTAAGAAATGGCTCTTCTAATCCAGGAGCTGATTTTACATGATGTATTCACCATGAGGTTGGCAGACATCTCTTAGTGAAAAGTTACTCATAATGAAACTTAAAATGTGATCACCAATGAAATCTTAATTGCATGACTGCTCTCAGATAAATTCAAACTGAAGATACAAAATGGTCATTGAACAGAAGGAACGTGAATTGTGAGGGGCTCAAGTTTAGAGGAAAAGATTGAAAAAAGAATACACAAAGCAACAGATAATTTGTGTGTATTTCCACCCCTACCCCCATACCCTCATAATATTTTTTCATTGGATACTGTTGGTATTACCAGAACAGGTGCACACCCTTTTCCTCTTACAGTAATAGAAATAGGGAATTTTATCAAAATTAGCAAGACTAACAAAGTTCTCACTTATCTGCTTAATTATTAACCCAAACTAAAAATGCTCTAAAAATCATTTAATTTGTCAATTAAAAAGAAAGATTTCTCAATCTCTCATGTAAATATGCAATTCAGCATAGTAGCCTTAATCTTTTCTGGCACTTAATATTTTTAAGTAAAAAGAGTTTCCTGAGATTTCACATCTATATTTTCAATAGATAATGAGATATCTATTGTCTGATTGACCCTGAAGTTTGCTCATAGTTTTTTCCAGGCATTAATCATCCCCATCCCCAGAACAAAGGGCATTTGCAGCTCCCAAACTTTAAAGCTGGTATAAAATTAAGGGCAATTTTAGATTTTAACAAGTAGTATGTTCAACACTAAACTAATTATAAGCAGGCAATTATTCTAACTTTTAACCAGAAAGAAATTCCAAAAGAAGCTGTGTCTCCAAACTATAATCTCTTTTTTAAAAAGATTAAATGGGATGATTAATCTGTAGTTTAAAATTCAGGAACAAAACTACTAGAATAGATGAGGGTAATACTTAAAATGCATTCTGGAAATAGATGAACACATCCTCCAAGTGAAAGAAAACTGGCAACATGACAATTCAAAAAAGCCCAACTCTCAGTGGAGCTAGGAGCAAATTTTTGCTAGTGGACAGAAACTGGTGAAAAAATGCATTTTTAAAAGGTTTACATTGTCACAATTGAACTAGTCAAGAAAAACAGCTGGCAGTACAACAAAGTGCTATAAGAAGGAGCGCATCCTGCAAAGCAGTGGGAATTGTTTACTCCAAGCATGCCGACTGTTATGTTATCTACATATTTGAAGTGGGTTCCCAGGAGAGCTGTGTCAGTGATTCTTGGAACTGCATTCCCACGCATTCCTCTCCAAGTCAACTGAACAACTTTCTCCAAGACACAAACCATACGCTAAATTCGGCAGTGCCCCTTCCCAGCAGTGCCGTGTTCATTAGATAGTTGACTTAGAGCCAATAGAAGCCAAACACTAAATTAAAAATGTGGGGTTAAAACAACTGGAATCAACGAAGTAAGGTTTTAAGTTACACTTAAACATCTCCCTAAATTTCCAAACCCTACCATCTGATAAAACCTCCCCACCCCTTCTAAAGAGCTGGCTTTTTAAGAGAAATTCAACAATTACTTATGTTTTCATGATACCAAACACAACACCACATATCAAATTTGTTACCCAAATATATGCTATAGTCCCTCTGCAGTCAATATCTATTATCAACACACTAACTCTTGGCAAATTTTACTCTAACATTTTTATTAATACCGACATTACCCTGCTTACTGAGATTCTGAAGTCTTACACAGGATTTTTGTTTACCCAAATACAGCGGCAGCTGGAAGAGAAAACCCTTTTAACTTTAACTAATAATAGACCTTGACAGTCAGAAACCCCCTCGTTTAAAAATATAGCTGAGGCATCTAATTCCTCCCTTAAAACTTCTATTTTCAGGCTAACAATCATCCCAGTTTCCCAGTATTCCTTGCTTTTTTTCTTCACTGCCATTACAAGAATAGATAGTTATTGATTTCTGGAGGGTCTGTTTCAAAAAACTGGTCATCTAGAACTGGGTCATTCATGTTTATGGGTATAGTAGGTCTATATCCAACATGTACCAAGACTGAGACAAAGGCCTGCTGACACTGGTACAGAGGCAAGTGGACAGACAGTGAGCAGGAAACAAGCCAATGAACAAGATGTTTTCAGAGGCATACATAGGAAAACAAAACAGCCCAGTAATTCCATCTCTAGGAGTACCCATCAGAAAAACTCTTGCATATGGCGCCAGGAGATACAATAGGAATGTTCAAAGAAGCATGTTCCTCATATCACAAACCAGGAACAACCCAGTTGTCCACAGACAGGAGAATGGATATATGCTTATATATTCACATAAAGGAATATTTAGATAGTAACAAAAATGAGCGTGCACAGCTAAATGCAACCACATAGGTGTCTTAGAAACAATGCTAATTGCAAACGGCTAGTCCCAAGAGTCTACCCACAGTGCACCTTTTTCTTTTTTTCTTTTTTTTTTTATTATTATACTTTAAGTTCTGGGGTACATGTGCAAAACGTGCAGGTTTGTTACATAGGTATATACGTGCCATGGTGGTTTCCTGCACCCATCAACCCGTCATCTACATTAGGTATTTCTTCTAATGCTATCCCTCCCCTAGCTCCCCCAACCCCCCGACAGGCCCCAGTGTATGATGTTCCCCTCCCTGTGTCCATGCGTTCTCATTGTTCAACTCCAGAGCTAAACTACAGGGTTCATTTAGAACTATTGGCCAGGGAATCATGTATAGTGGTACAAGCAAGGAAATTATAAACACAAAATTCAGGTTAGGGGACGTCTGAGGGTGGAATAGGGGATACCCAAGATCCAGTTCTCGAGTTGGATGCATGTTTCACTCGTATTTACTTTATTACTAGACTTTATAACTTAAGTATATGTTACATCTATTATTGTGTATGTATCAAACATTCAGAAAGCTCTGAGGAAAATAGCACAAGGAATATGATAGAGTCTCCAGGGCAGCTAGACCTATAGTATGAAGACAAATAAAAATTAAAAATAAGAGGTTTAATTCTCACAGATAAAAAATAAGAGATGTTGCCCATCCTTTTTCTTAGAATATTTACTATAGAAAAGTTGTAAGTTCTTTCTTATCTCTTTGAAATATATGTAAATTATTTTAAAAGCTAAATGATGTTTCTGTCAGCTCTGTGACCCAGAAATGTCTTTCTCCAGGACCTGAGAAACATCTCTTTGGAATGTAAACATCCAAAGAAGATAGTGTCCCTATCTCGCAGTCTCTACTGGAAGACGGCAGTCTAACTTCGGCAGGTACCAGGCTCCAAGTTGCAAAACTACCTTCTGACATAAAGATAGGAATGAGTTAACACCAATGGTCACCCTAATTACCAGGTGAATTTAGCATAAACTATGTGTAACAAATAGTGCTGTCGAGTCCTCTTTCTTAAGGAGTAGTCTGTCTTGAGAACATGTATATAATGGGTTCTGTCTACTTGGCTATATAAAAGGGTCAGATTTCTGTCTTGGCACTCTTTTAGTAGATGGCCTATAACATGCGTCACATTCTGGTCTAATTTTTTTTTTTTCTTTTTTGAGACAGAGTCTCACTTTGTCACCCAGGCTGGAGTGCAGTGGCGCAGTCTCAGCTCATTGCAACTTCCACTTCCCGGGTTCAAGCAATTCTCCTGCCTCAGCCTCCTGAGTAGCTGGGACTACAGGCGCATGTCACCATGCGCAGCTAATTTTTGTATTTTTAGTAGAAATGGGGTTTCACTATGTTGGCCAGGCTGGTCTCAAACTCCTGACCTCTTGATCCACCCATGTCAGCCTCCCAAAGTGCTAGGATATTTATTCAATAAGTAAACTGTTTTCTTTTTCTACTACCTTTACAGAGTAGTTTACTGGGTTGGGAGATTTTGGTTTTTGTTCTTTTTCCCCAACACTGGTCAGACAGGGGGTATTTGAGTTGGGTGATGTATTTTAGGTTGGATTCCCAAGGCACGGGCCCTAAAAGGAAGAGTCCAGTGCAAGAGGATTAGGAAGGAAGTGCTCCTAGGAGGCTAGTGAGGGTGTGGACAAAGCAAGACAGGCATGGGGTGAAAACCAAGCAAGGGGGCCACGGGAGACTCCAGTGGAACTCTACACGGTAAGTTCTGCCCCGTGAAAGCGTGAACTGGGCTTTCATGCTTCCATACTGGACAGTTATGGGAGGCTGGGGACAGCCAGGGACATTAATTCCAGCCACTGGCTGCTGTAGGCAAAGCAGCTACAGCATTTGGAGGAATCTCCTCCAAAGTTGAGTTACAGGGTCTACATTGGAAAGACAAAGCTCTCCAAAGTTGAGGAGAGGGTAAGAGTTGCAGAAAGTCCCTGTGAGCCAAAGCAGGATGGAATGAGATCAGAGATACAGGCGGGACCCTGACACTGTGGCTACCATCAGCTCATGTCAGAAAGTTTGGGTTTCAGCCTAAATGCAATGGGAATTCTCAGAGAGTTTTCAAGGAATGACTCAATTTATGTTTTACATAGTGATTCACATTGATTTACATTTCTGCATCATCAAATCAGAACAGCAAAACAATAGGGAAATGCAGGTACTTTTGTGCCCTGGCAAATTTATGAATTTCTGGTTAGGGACCTTAAGGGTTACTCACTGAAGACAAACTGTGAATGTTAAGTTTAAGAACACCGAGGAACTACTGAACCTTCTTTTTTCAAGGAAGAAGGTGTTCGAACGATAGTCTAAACCTATTGAGAGCCGGCCAGTTTTTCAGGCAGGCATCTAATGCATGTCTTTCCCAGTGGGGAGCCGGTGCTACCGAGAGGCCCCCGAAATTACCTGCAATGCTGGTTTCCATCTGTATTAGAGAAAAGTGAGAGGTAATGATACCTCTGGCATTCTCTCTCCATACCTAGCTTCCAGTGAAACAAGGGCAGGCAAAAATAAAATAAACTGTTAATGGGCAGTGAAGTGTTGCACTCTAGGGCTTAGCGGTCCCTCTGTGTGTCTGACCTGGAGCTCACAGTGCGGACGAGATCAAAGTCTATGACATGGGAAATCTCTTTGCCCAAAGAGAGCAGCATGCTCTTCCCAACTGCCCCACCAATGAAGAGCTCCTCATCACAGGGTGGCAGGAACCCTGGCAGCACTGCAGCAGTCAGGTTGTAGGGTTCCCCTTTCCTCCATGCCCTGTGGTACACCCCAGATTACTGGGTATTCTCCTTTATCCTACCATATTGCTTCCTTCCCAGGGACCCAAGCCCCAGAAGTGTTCTTCAAATTTACCTTAGATAAATGGAGCATGAGGCCATTTTCTTAATTCAAAGCCCCAGCTTCCAGCCTTGTTTGACTTTCCTTTAGATAGGGCATTGGGATATTACCAAAAATACAGCATTCCCCTTTTTGTCCATGAATAACAGACTCTAGCACTTCAGTTTCATACAAGCTCCTGGCAAACTCTTCAGCATAAGAACATGAGAAATAGGACAGAGCGGGGCTCAGGCCCCTCTCAGGTGTGCTCAAGTGTGTATGCCTTCCCTCAGGCTGCTGGAGCCACCCTACATGCCCAAGAAGCTGAGGACAGCCACCCAGGGCTTCAGAAAGACCCAAGGAGGCAGTCAGGGCAATGGGGGCCCCACCTGGTCATAAGGCATCTCCAGTGAGGAGCCACTTAGGTAAGAATATATCTGATTGGCTGGCTGTAAGAAGGGATCTGTTGTTTGCAAATCCCACAAGTGTCCTGGGGAAGTGAAAATCCTGGCACAGTTGTTAACTGAAAGTTACATGACTTCTGTAGTGTGACAGGTCCCCCATCAGGTTACTTAAGGGCATATGTCCACTGCTTGAACCCTGAGGTCCAAGTGGTGAACCAAGGCCATAGTGCCCAGCCAAGAAGAAGGTGTTTCTGAGAACCCAAACATCCTGGAGAGGATCCGGGAACATAGCAAAAAGAGTTCCATTGCACACACACTGTAGGCAAAGAGCCAGAAAATTAGCTTAAAAGCAGCTTAAAAATGGCAGGCAGGGCCGATCTCTAAAGCTGTCCCGCTGCCGCCCAGAAGGTCCCCATATGTAAGTCTTAATAAACTCATCCGCTTGCCAAGCTGGACTTGTTTGAGTCATTCCTTGGTCTCTGGACATCTTCCCAGTTGGGGAACCAGGGGAGGCATTATACTCCCCAGTTTTTCTCTTAACAACTGCACCCAAGACATGAAGGCTAAATTTAAGTCACTAAAGGTCCCAGACTACCCCATAAACATGAGATGATAGGCAATTTGGGGGACGCCTCATTAGGAAGATCTCAGAGGACTGGATCAAAACAAGTTGTCTGAAAAGGAATTTGAAAAAATTCAACCATCATTTACGATAAAAATTCTCACCAAACAAGGAATAAGAAGATTTCCTTTACCCAACAAAGAGATTCTACCAAAATCCTACAGCAAACACATTAATTAATGATGAAACATTAGAAATCCCTCTTGAAGTCAGGAAGGAGACATGGACACCTACCAACATTGTTTCTATAAACCATGGTACTAGAAATTCTAGCAGCTACAGCCAGACAAGAAAAAGAAACAAAATATGTGCATGCTCTATTTCTGAGCAATTCCATTCCTAAATACATCCAGAAGCTGTTCTCACACTTTGCACAAGAAGACATGTACAAGATTGTGCATTGCAGAATGATTTTCTATGAGAAAAATTTTAAAATGAAACAATATAAATGTCCTTAAACAGGACAATACATAAATCCATTGCATTATGCTTCCAAAAGTGACTATAACACAGCAGATGCACTCCCTAATCTGCAGCTGCTAATAAAGAAGACACTGAGCTCGGCCTAGCTCTGCATATCTGAAGGATACTAAGAGGCTGGGTAAGGTGAGGCCAGGTCATTGTATTATAGATGGACTTTATGCAGATACTCCAGAGAAATCCTATGGTCCAAGGTAAGTCAAAGACACCTGTAATGGTTCAGAGTAAGCTTATAATAATTAATCCACTTCCCCAGGAACAAATATGGTCTAATTCCAAATTCCTAAAATTATCTCAAAGATTTTATCAACAAACTCCACCAACTAGGAGTGCCTGATTTCACTCTATTTACACATCTGGAAATGAGAAAGTTGAACATGTTATCCCTAATTAAGCCTTTATTGTCTCCAATTTTATAAGGAGAACATAAATAAGTTCTGTGAGTAAATGGATTTTGTGCTGGGGTATTTCAGACACCCCCAATTGGGGCATCAGTGTTGTGTGTTCTGCAAGAGAGAATTCAAGTTCACAGAGCGGTGAACTAGTCACAACTTAATTTGTGATGATTCACTTAATAATAAATTTGCATGGCCTTATAAAAAGTTTCCATTATGCAATACCACTAAAGTTAATTTTAAGCTCTACTGTCTAAATAATCAAGCACAATAATTACCCTACCAAGATGGCACATATCAGAAATCAATCCATCAAGTCTTTTGGATGAAAGCTGATAAACAGATATTCAAATGTAGCTATAAATGAAATAAAACAATAAAATATGAAAGCCAAAAAAGACGTTAGGTGTAATTAAACTTTGTGGTTTACAAACTGTTCTGCAACGGTGCTTCAGGGTTCCATGAACACTTCATTCTGATTTCTTTTTTTAGATTTCGAACTTATCAAAACTCTTCTTACAGAAACATACACATTCAAATGTGTTAGAGTCAGACAGTCATCCACTTTTCTATGTTTAGCTCTTGAACAAACCTCACTTTCAGGCACACATCGCCTACACATCACTGAGTGTTAACTCGCCTGCATCTCTGCACACACGTTGTGAGCTAGCACGTCACACAGCACTGCCTGCCAGACAATGATTCCATTTCGTCAAAGCCACCATAGTTTCAGTACCATAGAGTCTGTCAAATTATTTGAATCTGTTAGTGTTTTGCGCTGTGTAAAAATGAATCTAAATAGAAATATTTTGGAGATATGAATGTTAGTGGTAATGAAGACAGTCATTAGGCAGTAGGCATGCCAGAAGAGGTGACTCTAGTCATAAACAGTGTAGAAGAAAAGGAACCCATGAGATAGACACCAAGTACCTCTCACAGAGATATTGTCATGGTATCTTCTTCTCAGGAACAGGATCTTTCCTCTCTACCACTCACTCCCTACTTAATATCATGTAAGACTATGATCTCACTTTTGCACATTCAACTCTTTAAATAATGGCTTGAGATATAATTCATAAACCATACAATTCACCCATTTAAAGTACACAGTTGATTGCCACAATCAATTTAAGGACATTTTTATCCCCCCAAAAAAGGAACTCTGCATCCCTTAGCCACCCAATCCTCCCACTGCCTTTAGCCCCTGACAGCCACTCATCTACTTTCTGCCTTTATAGATTTGCCTATTCTGGATATTTCATATCAGTGGAATCCCACAGATGTTGTCCTTTGTGACTGGTTTCTTTCACTCAGGATAATGTTTTCAAGACTCATCCATGTGGTAGTATATATGGTAGTATTCCTTTCCCTTTTATGACCAAATAACATTCCATTGTATGGATACAGCATATCATGCTCATCCACTCATTAACTGATGGACATTTGAGTTGTTTTCACTTTTTGGCTGAATAATGCTGCTAGGAACATTCATGAGCAAGTTTTTGTGTGGATATATATTTTCATTTCTCTAGGGTATATATAGGAGTGGAATTGCTGGTTCATATGGTAACTCTATATTTCACCTTTGAAGGAAATCTAGTCTGTTTTCCGTGGCAGCTATACCAGGTCCCCAGCAGTGTATGAGAGTTTCAATTTCTCTGTAGCCTTGACAACACTTGTCTGCCTTTATTACAGTCATTCTGGTGGATGTGAAGTGGTATCTCATTGCAGATTGAGTTTGCATTTCCCTAATAACTAACAAAGTTGAACATCTTCTCATGTGCTTATTGGCTTTGGCACATTCAACTATTACATACTTTTAAAGTAGAATTACTTTTAAGCTAGGGGACTCCAGATTCCAAATGTTTACATGCTGAATACTGCCAGCATGTCAATGTGTTCTCATTTGTTGACTTTATAATGAGTAAACTGTATACATCTGAACTTAGAAAATAAATAGTTTGTTTTTATATTGTGGTTTCATAAACTTCATCTGACTTTTAAAAGAAAATAATTATGAAACCACCAATCTAATAAAAAATTTCCCACTTATTTTTCCACATATAAGAAAATAAGCCCCGAGACTTTAAATGACAAAACTAGATTGAGCTGGAGAATAAAAATAATCACAGTCTCTTGTCTCCTAGGCCATGGTTCTTTCTAGCAGAACTAAATGAACAAGAACAACAACAAAATCAGTAATAAAACACCTTCAGGGTGCATTTTAAAATATATCCAGGATGGGCATGGTGGCTCACGCCTGTAATTCCAGCACTTTGGGAGGCCAAGGTGGGTGGATCACCTGAGCTCAGGAGTTCAAGACCAGCCTGGGCAACATGGCAAAACCTCGTTTCTACCAAAAAATACAAAAATTAGCCGGGCACGGTGGCACACGCCTGCAATTCCAGCTACTCAGGAGCCTGAGGCAGGAGAATCGCTTGAACCCAGGAGGCAGAAGCTACAGTAAGCCGAGATTGTGCCACTGCACTCCATCCTGGGTGACAGAGCAAGACTCAGTCCCAAAAAATAAAATAAAATAAAATAAAATAAAATATATCCAGTGCAAAAGTGGTAAAATTAAAAAGTAACACAAATAAATGATTATCACAAAAGTTGGGATAGTGGCTATCTATTAGGGAAGGGGTAAGCATGTTGAGAGTCTGTGATACTCATAAAGTTCTATTTCAGGTCATGATTTAAAAAGTGTTCACTTGTTATTTAACTGTTTCTAGATGTTGTGTGGATTTTACATTTCATAATAAGAAAGGTTAAAAACAAATATTTTCCCACGCAACTTATCAGTATTAAATGAGAGATCTTTGCCTTACAAAAAAATTACTTAAAATCAATCTAAAGATGACAAATAAAGAGTAGAATTATCTTCCTTTGATCCTTCCTACTTATTCAAATGGATGCCACGTCGCACATCTTATCTGTACAGATAAACAGAAGCACTGCTTTCAAAGATAACCCATTCTTCTAGGGGACTCCCCTTCGAGAAACATCATTTGCTACCAATTTACGGAAAATTACATTTATTGCAAGATCATAAACTCTTTGACATTCTTGTCAAGTCTAAACGAAGCACAACCCTCAGGTTCACGCCTGTTCTTCCTCCTCACCAAGAAATTATGAGTTGAGGAAAGGATATCTCACAGTAGATATTAGAAGCCTTAACATCTGCACTGTTATGCCCCCATGCTTGCTCTCTTATAAATTATTTTCCAGCTAGAGAACTAGAGGTCAGCCCCACCAGCACAAAGGCATGATGACAAGGTGACAGAGACCATGGGAGGGGTAAGTACCATGCCCCACTGTCACTGACCCAGGCTCCTTCCACCAGCAAAGAAATAATTGTTCCTTAAGGGGACTGAAATTCATGGTCACAATGAGGACCACACACATACACACAAATCATGTTACTGGATGATTCATGAAGTAAAGTAAACTTTTGCAAAGTCCATAGTATAGCCCATGAACAGTATGGTAGAGCCACTGGCTACGGGAATCTAGAATATTTTGTTCAGCATCTTTTTTTTTTTTTTTTTTTTTTTGAGATGGAGTCTTGCTCCATCACCCAGGCTGGAGTGCAGTGGCATGATCTCGGCTCACTGCAACCTCTGCCTCCTTGGTTCAAGCAATTCTCCTGCCTCAGCCTCCTGAGTAGCTGGGATTACAGGTACTCGCCGCCATGCCCAGCTAATTTTTTGTATTTTTAGTAGAGATGGGGTTTCACCATGTTGGCCAGGCTGGTCTTGAACTCCTAGCCTCAGGAGATCTGCCTGCTTCGGCCTCCCAAAGTGCTGGGATTACAGGCGTAAGCCACCACACCCAGCCTGCTCAGCATCTTTTTTAACCACCAACCTATAACTGTTGATGTACTAAGAAACATAACTTTGCTTTCCCATTGTAGTATGCTTGAACAGGAAAACCTTCTCCCTCTTGCCAATATTCCCCTTCCCATACACAGCCTGGTCTAGAAAGATCCAAGCATTCAACATGCATTCTAAACCACCACTGTGCGAGACAGGAGGCCTGTCTGAGTCCTGCTGGAGGAGGCAGGGTGTGTTCTTCACATGCTGGTTGGGATTCTGACACCCCAGTCGGTGGGAAAATGGTTCAATTTGACCCTATGTCATTTATAGCTCTCAGAGGCCCCTGCATAGCATGCATACCTCTTATATAGCCCAGGTAACTACGGGAAAAAAGTAGGGGAATTTTTCACAGTAAGAATAACCCAGGGTTATTCAGCCCCTTATGCAACTCTGCCTTGCATTAGATACTTTTCCAAGAAGACCTGCATTATGGTGGTCTCAGTCCACATCACTTGCCCTTTACATGGCAATGCTATCCTGGGCAGGTAGCAGAGCAATGTTTCCGCTTTATCACTGCATCAAACAGCATTAGTAAAACTCAACGGGCTAAGCTGGTGGTTTAGGAGAGTGCTGGAAGGGTCATTTGTCATGGACACTCAAGTTATGTTGGTAATTATATGCATCTCTCCTTCTCAACAGCCAGTGAAGAGGATCTGAAGAAGAAGGGAAGCAAAGTGGCTTTCCTGCACAACAGCAGTGGGAAATGAGTGGGGCCTCTGTGGCCCTGCTCAGGCCAGGGCCACTCCAGCACTCCCCAGGGGCCCCATGGCCAAGCAGAGGAGTAGCCACAGACTAATGCCCCTGCACACACCACCTCTTCTCTGCCCTCTCTCTTGGCTTCACATCGTCCACTCAAAAGGCTGCATTCAGCATAGGAAAGATTCTCTAGAGGTATCCACATAGATGCCATGTGTGAAAGCAAAAGCTGTACAAAAGACAAATCTATCACAATGACAGACCTTCAATAAGCTACAAGTGAAAACTCATTGTAAAATACACACAGTTAAAACCAACGAGGGGGGCCGGGCGCGGTGGCTCATGCCTCTAATCCCAGCACTTTGGGAGGCTGAGGCGAGCGGATCACAAGTTCAGGAGATCGAGACCATTCTGGTTAAGGAGGTGAAAACCCATCTCTACTAAAAATGAAAAAAAAAAAAAAAAAATTAGGTGTGGTGGCGGGTGCCTGCAGTCCCAGCTACTCAGGAGGCTGAGGCAGGAGAATGGCGTGAACCTGGGAGGCGGAGCTTGCAGTGAGCCGAGATCGTGCCACTGCACTCCAACCTGGGTAACAGAGCGAGACTCTGTATCAAAAAAAAAAAGAAAAATAAAAAAAAAACCAACAAGGGGATGCTGGACAGTGTGATTTTAGAATCTGTAGCCCAGGAGAACAATGAGAAACTTCTGTTCCCCAAGATAGTCTATTACAGGGACTTTTTTTACTTGCCTCATGATATTCTATTACAAGATAACTGGAAAGTGATGCTGCACCTTCCTTGGTTGCTGTTACTAAGATTTCCTGAAGATACCTGAAAATAAATGAAATGTATCTGAGTAACCTTACATAAGGCATTGAAAGCATGCGTCATCTACCACCAGGGACTTGCATACTAAATATGTTGCAAACAGCTTACTTGTTAAATGAAACTGACCCAAGTTTTATGTTTTCTAGATTCTGGCTGCATTTTCGAGTTATCAGCATGGTTCTATTCCATGTCCATTTTTCCTCCCACCATGAGGCACAGGATCATACAGTGATTGAGGCTAACAGTTTGTGGCCACATTATCTAGGTTTAAATCACAGCCCTGCCACTTACTTGATCTATGACTCAATTTCCCCATCTGTAAAACAGGGATGATAAAAATCATCACAGAGTGTTTTGGGAATTAAGGAAGTTAATAGATTGCTTACAACAATCCCTGGCACTTGATTATGATAGAATCAAATATTTTGACCTTTGACCACTTGCTTTGAAAGGAAGTATTAAATTCTATTTCACCCTGATCATCTTTACATAGATTATCATTAAAGAGAACATCAGACAAACTGATTGATATCGTTTGGCTGTGTCCCCACCCAAATCTCATCTTGAATTGTAGCTCCCACAATTCTCACATGTGGGAGGGACCCAGTGGGAGGTAACTGAATCATGGGGGCAGGTCTTTCCCATGCTGTTCTTGTGATAGTGAATAAGTTTCATGAGATCTGATGATTTTATAAGGGGGAGTTTCCCTGCACAAGCTCTCTCTTGCCTGCTGCCATATAAGACATCCCTTGCTCTTCCGCCATGACTGTGGGGCCTCCCCAGCCACGTGGAACTGTGAGTCAGTTAAACCTCTTTCCTTTGTAAATTACCCAGTCTCAGGTATGTCTTGATTAACAGCATGAACATGGACAAATACACTGATTAAAAAAAATAACTGAACACCCAGAAATCAGTGGTTGTTCTTTCTAAGGGAGGGACTCTCTCAGTAATGTGTGCCAAGCCAGGGGACCAGTGAGGCTTACCAGTGTGGATTCTGTGCCAGGAACTTCAAGGTTTCCTGAACCACAGTGTCTCAGAAGCTGCCCAATGTCCTCCAAGTATCACAAGTGCTGGATCAGTCAGATCAGCGGTGAATCATTCAGAAGTCATCCTAGTGAGCTTGGTACTTCAGACCCAAGGGAACACCTCCAATAACCACCAACGGAAACGTGGACAACCAAAAGGGTGCAAGTTTTCATACCTTTCCTAACTAAGGGATGACTCCCACTTGGTTTTTTTTTTTTTTTTGAGACGGAGTCTTGCTCTGTCACCCAGGCTGGAGTGCAATGACGTGATCTCGGCTCACTGCAACCTCCATCTCCCGGGTTCAAGCGATTCTCCTGCCTCAGCCTCCTGAGTAGCTGGGATTACAGGAATGTGCCACCATGCCCAGCTAATTTTGTATTTTTAGTAGAGACGGGGTTTCACCATGTTGGTCAGGCTGGTCTTGAACTTCTGACCTCATGATCCACCCGCGTCAGCGGGTGTGAGCCACCATGCCTGGCCGACTCCCACTTCTTATACAAGTTGCTCTCTTCTCCTACTCCTGACAAACAACTGGGGGAATGTCTAATTGGAATGACAATCCAATCTTGACCATACAGTATCTATATGTTTTCTTCTTGTGCATAAATTACAATAAAGACATTCCAAATGAGTGGGACTACTAGACCTCTCAACTTCCAACAAATAACTCAACCCTCCCTCCTATTAAACCTGGAGCTGAGCAAAATATCTAGGTCTTCACCAGAGACTAAACATATCATTTACTCCCTCTTATTCATATCAAGTAAGAAAGGGGGCCTAGGAAATGCATTCTAAACCAATGGTCTAAATCACACAGATTATCACATTCAAGAAAGTAGTCTGTCACTTTCTTGATTTGTTCTTTCCCAGTGACCTCGCTCTCCACCTGATCTCCATCTCTCATACCTAAGGTCATTCCCTGGACCTTACTAAGTACAGCCCCCACAGCCCCAATTCCAAGCATCTCACTTACATTCTCGGAAGTCCTGTGTGCAGACTTGTCTGGCCCCTGAACCCTACAATTCCTAATCTTGCCACCAGCCCACTGTCTCCCAACCCACGCTGTCTCCTCTGAAGTCCTCACTTCTTTCATTACCCAGAGCATGTCAATCAGCCATCATCACAGATCTCCCTTGCATGCTTCCTCAGTGCCTACCCTCTCTTCCTTCCCTTTACTTGCTTGACAAAAAACCATCCTTGGTAAAAAACCCAACTCTACCTGAACACTGCATTAAGTGGGACCAGTGAGAATCATGTGACATTTCCCTGTTCACTCTCACATCATCCCATGCAATTTCAGGTTTCTTCTCTCCTTAACACTTCGACATTTTCCCAATCCTTACTCTCAATGTACTTACCCTGCCTGAGGTTCTCTAAGCTTCTTGGATATGTGATTTGTTGCCTTTCATTAATTTTAGAAAAATTTTTCCTGATAAAAAATACTTATTCTACCCCTTTCTTTTCCTTCTGTGAGTCCCACTGCATGGGTTTCATATTTTCCTCACATATCTCAGATGTGATGTTCAGTTTTGTCATTTTTTGCCATTCTTTGTGTTTGGTTTGGATGCCTTTTATTGACCTCTCTTCAAGTTCACCAATTCTGCCTCTGAAGTGTCCAGTCTGCTGAAATGTCCATCAGCATTAGTCATCTATTATAGCAAATTAGCCCACAATGAAATGTTTGTGGCTTAAAGCCATCAACATTTACTATCTCACAGTTTCTGTGGATCAGGAATTCAAGAGCACCTAAGCTGCTGGCTCTAGCTCATGATCTGCCATGACATTACTACCAATATGGAGTCATCCAGGACTGCAACCACCTAAAGGACTTGCTAGAGCTGGAGGATCTTCCTCCAAGATGACTCACTCATGTAGTCCTAGTTGTTGGCAGAAGGCTCAATTCATCTCCACACAGGCCCCGCTATAGATTACTTGAGTGTCCTCATTACATAGTGAATAGTTTCCTTCAGAACGTGTCACCAAACAGAGAGCAAGGCAAAGGCCACAATATATTTTACAATGTTGCTTCAGAAATTACACAGTCATTTTTGCAATATTCTTTTGGTTACACAGACCAACCCTATTCAGTGTGTGAAGAAAGTATGCAAGATTATGAATACTTGGGCCAGACACGGTGGCTCATGCTTATAATCCTAGCATTTTGGGAGGCTGAGGTGGGAGGATTGCTTGGGCCCAGGAGTTTGAGACCAGCCTGGGCAACGTAGGGCGTCCCCACCTACATACACATTTTTTTAAAAATCAGCCAAACATGGTAGTGCATGCCAGTAGTGCCAGCTACTCTGGAGGCTGAGGTGGGAGGATCACTTGAACCCTGGAGGTCGAAGCTGCAATGAGCCATGATCGTGCCACTGCACTACAGCCTGGGTGACAGAGCAAGACTCTACCTAAAAAAAAAAATGCAGATTTGAAAGCAGGGATCATTACAGGCCATCTTAGAGGCTAGCTACCATCCTGTCAAAACAATTCTTCATCTTTGATATTATGTTTTCCAATTCTAGCATTTCTAGTTGATTCACTTTTACAGTTTTCATACCTCTCCTGAAATTCCCCATCACTTCAAGCCTAGTATTAACCTTTTCCATGAACTCCTTCAACTTATTAATCATAGCTATTTTTAACGGCCCTGTCCAATAGTTCAAATATCTGGGCCATCTCTTGGTCTGTTTCTGTTGACTATTTTATTTCTTGACAATGGGCCTTGTTCCCCCTCCCCACCCCATCACTTGACTCTTTTGTTTATCTCATGATGTTTTATTGAATACTAAACATTCCATTTAAGAGAATCAAAGATAATAATATTTACAACCAGAAATGTACATGCCTTTTCTTCTATCAGGCCATTAGTGTGAGAAGTTGAGTTGATCTAGTATACAGTTAAACTGGGTTTGAGTTTTGTAACTACAGGAAGTTGCCTTCAGTGTTCCACAGACTTCAAATTCCTCCCAGGGGGAACTGTCATTATCTTGGGCTTAGTGTGAGGCCTGGGGTATCTTTTCTCAGTATTCCTGCTTCACCTTCCCTTTCAGCAGACCCTGCTCATCTGTGCCAGGGGCTATCTTTCTCTGGCTTTTGCCCCTCCTCAGCAGTACAATAGTGTTGCTTTTTACTTGGTGTAAAGCTCAGAGTGGAGACAGGAGAGTTTCTCACTTCTCTTACCCTAGCCTCAGTCTTAGACAGCCCTGTGTGACTGTCTCAGAGATGAGACTTTCTCAGAATTCCTTTCCCATCTGCCAGGGAACAGCTGGGCTATTTTAGATTTCTATAAGACCCTGTATCTAAAAAAATTGATCATATAAATAATTTGAGGCATATGGCGATGTTATCTTTCTCTAGAGAAAATTAACATTTACTTCTGCTAGATGCCTGATCATAATCCAGGATCACCTTAGTCTACTGTCAGTTAGTGAGATGACTTTTTTTTTTTTATTTTGAGACAGAGTCTCGCTCTGTCACCCAGGCTGGAGTGCAATGGCACCATCTCAGCTCACTGGGTTCAAGCAATTCTCCTGCCTCAGCCTCCTGAGTAACTGGGATTACAGGTGCACACCACCACGCCTGGCTAATTTTTGTATTTTTAGTAAAGATGGGGTTATGCCATGATGGTCAGGCTGGTCTCGAACTCCTGACCTCATGATCCACCTACCTCAGCCTCCCAAAGTACTGGGATTACAGGTGTGAATCACCGTGCCCAACCTAGTGAGATGATTTTTAAGGGGACATAAGGCCCTGTAATAGCCAGGCTATTGGTCTATTTTCAGTTCACTCTTTTCCTAGTTATGTAGTTCTCTAGGGAACCAATCCCAAACACAGAGGATAACCCCTTAGCTAGCTTTGAATTTCACATTTTCCTCCATACTCTCTTTTTTACTCTTCCCCCAGTTTTATAAAGGTATAATTCACAAATAAAAATTATGTATATTTGCTGTGTACAACGTGATGTTTTGACATATGTATATAATGTGAAATGATTAACTCAAACTAATTAACATATCTATCACCTCACATACCTATTTTTTGTAGTAAGAATGTTTAAGATCTACTCTCTTAGCAATTCTCAAGCATACATTAACTATAGTCACCATGCTGTACAATAGATCTCCAGAACTTATTCACAACTTATTCATACTATCTAACTGAAACTTCATACTCTTTGACCACAATCTCCCCATTTCATGTCCTCCCTAACCCCAGCCAAGCTCCTGGAAACCACCATTGTACTAGTCATTTCTATGAATTAAACTTTTTTAGATTCCACATATAAGTGAGATGATGTGTGGCACTTTTCTTCAGATGCTTGGCTTATTTCTCTTAGCATAATGTCCTCATAGTTCATTCATGTTGCCAAGAATGACAGAATTTCATTCTTTTTTATGGCTGAATAGTATTTCATTATACTATTATACTATATATATGTATCATTATACTATATATGTTATACTATATCATACTATATATCATACTATATATATTATATATATCATTATGCTACACACATATATATATCTCATACTTTACCCATTATAGACACTTAGGTGGATTCCATATCTTGGCAAGTGTCATGCTGAAGAGAGATCTGCATTCCTGCAGACTCTTCAATCTGTCAAAATTGCTTCTAGAACTCTCAGCAACATTCTCTAGACTAAGTGTACATCTCCAGAAAAATGCATCCGAATGTCAGTTTCTCCTCTCTTGATTTCCATGTTCTCCCGAATCCTGGACAGTAATTCTTCATCATATTATTAGCCATCACTAACATCTGTCTTCAAGTAGATTTTTTCAAAGACTTTATCTGGGCTTCTTGGTTGCCTTCAACAGGAATATGTGTCCAAAATGCCTAGTCCATCAATACATGAAGCAGAAGTCTGACTTATATTTTCAAGGAACTAACTCTAGCTGTTGCGTGGAAATAGAAAAGGGACAATGGCAGAAGCAGGAATACCAGCTGGGATGCTACTGCACTGCAGTAATCCAGATGAGAGAAGGCAGTGCCTTGGGCTGGGAAGGTTGTAGTGGGGGTGGCAGAAAGTAGTCAGATGTCCAACTACCTGTTCTCCATTTGCCCTTGAATGTCTAAAATGTATTTCAAACTTAACAAGTCAAAATATAAACTTTTCCTCTTCCCACTCAAAGCTACTCTTCCTTCAATCTTCTCCACACCAGAAAATGGCAGCTCTATCCTTCAAATCGCTTAGGCTAAGAACCTTAAAGTCTTCTTTAACACCTTTTCTACTCATATCCAACCTCTGTTCCTGTTATCTCTATATTCAAAATATATCCGGAATCCAACCTCTTTTCTCCACCTCTCCTGCTAGCATCCTGATGCCAGCTACTACCATTCCTCCCCTGGATCACTGCAACAGCTCTCTGCAGCTGCAGCAGTTCTCTGTGATTGTATTTTGGTCCTTCCCATCCCGACCTCCCAATCCCTGCCATTCAGTCTATTCTGGCAGCCACGGTGGCCTTACTAAAATGTAACTGAGATCATGTCACTCTTCTGCTCAAAACTTCTGATGGCTTGACTTACTCAAAGTCATGGTCCAAATTAATAAACTGCTCAAAGAGGTCCTACACAATCTGCACTGCCACCTCTCTCTGATCTCTTACCACTCACTCCCTTATTCACCCTACTCTAGCTATACCACCTTCTTTGCTATCACTGGCAGAGGGAAATTGAACAACTTTCTGAAGGGATTTAAAAATTCTTTCCAGTCCCTCTCCCTCTCCCTCTCCCTCTCCCCACGGTCTGCCTCTCCCTCTCTTTCCACAGTCTCCCTCTCATGCTGAGCCGAAGCTGGACTGTACTGCTGCCATCTCGGCTCACTGCAACCTCCCTGCCTGATTCTCCTGACTCAGCCTGCCGAGTGCCTGCGATCGCAGGCTCGTGCCGCCACGCCTGACTGGTTTTGGTGGAGACAGGGTTTCGCTGTGTTGGCCAGGCCGGTCTCCAGCCCCTAACCGCAAGTGATCCGCCAGCCTCGGCCTCCCGAGGTGCCGGGATTGCAGACGGAGTCTCGTTCACTCAGTGCTCAATGGTGCCCAGGCTGGAGTGCAGTGGCGTGATCTCGGCTCGCTACAACCTCCACCTCCCAGCCGCCTGCCTTGGCCTCCCAAAGTGCCGAGATTGCAGCCTCTGCCCGGCCGCCACCCCATCTGGGAAGTGAGGAGCATCTCTGCCTGGCCGCCCATCGTCTGGGATGTGAGGAGCCCCTCTGCCTGGCTGCCCAGTCTGGAAAGTGAGGAGCGTCTCCGCCCGGCCGCCATCCCACCTAGGAAGTGAGGAGCACCTCTGCCCAGCCGCCATCCTATCTAGGAAGTGAGGAGCGTCTCTGCCCGGCCGCCCATTGTCTGGGATGTGAGGAGCGCCTCTGCCCCGCCGCCCCGTCTGGGATGTGAGGAGCACCTCTGCCCGGCCGCGACCCCGTCTGGGAGGTGAGGAGCATCTCTGCCCGGCCGCCCCGTCTGAGAAGTGAGGAGACCCTCCGCCCGGCAGCCGCCCCGTCTGGGAAGTGAGGAGCGTCTCCGCCCGGCAGCCACCCCGTCCGGGAGGGAGGTGGGGGGGGTCAGCCCCCCGCCAGGCCAGCCGCCCCGTCCGGGAGGGAGGTGGGGGCATCAGCCCCCCGCCCGGCCAGCCGCCCCGTCCGGGAAGGAGGTGGGGGGGTCAGCCCCCTGCCCGGCCAGCCGCCCCCTTCTGGGAGGGAGGTGGGGGGGTCAGCCCCCCGCCCGGCCAGCCGCCCCGTCCGGGAGGTGAGGGGCGCCTCTGCCCAGCCGCCCCTACTGGGAAGTGAGGAGCCCCTCTGCCCGGCCACCACCCTGTCTGGGAGGTGTACCCAACAGCTCATTGAGAACGGGCCAGGATGACAATGGCGGCTTTGTGGAATAGAAAGGCGGGAAAGGTGGGGAAAAGATTGAGAAATCGGATGGTTGCCCTGTCTGTGTAGAAAGAAGTAGACATGGGAGACTTTTCATTTTGTTCTGTACTAAGAAAAATTCTTCTGCCTTGGGATCCTGTTGATCTGTGACCTTACCCCCAACCCTGTGCTCTCTGAAACATGTGCTGTGTCCACTCAGGGTTAAATGGATTAAGGGCGGTGCAAGATGTGCTTTGTTAAGCAGATGCTTGAAGGCAGCATGCTCGTTAAGAGTCATCACCACTCCCTAATCTCAAGTACCCAGGGACACAAACACTGCGGAAGGCCACAGGGTCCTCTGCCTAGGAAAACCAGAGACCTTTGTTCACTTGTTTATCTGCTGACCTTCCCTCCACTATTGTCCTATGACCCTGCCAAATCCCCCTCTGTGAGAAACACCCAAGAATTATCAATAAAAAATAAATTTAAAAAAATAAATAAATAAAAAAAATAAAATAAAAATTCTTTCCATAAGTCTTTACACAGGTACATGTTCAGATCCTTCAAGGAGCTGACTCCAAGACAGAATTAGAACTGCCAGTGGTTTTCTGGGAGAAATACCTAGGAAGGATGAAGGGAAAAAGGAGGAGTAGGCATAGACAACCTTCAGACCCAGATGGAGGTCTGACACCTGTGGAAGAAAGAGGGAAGGAAGGAGGATTATGGAGAAGGAGCCTCAGACTGCAGTGGAGCTCTGAGAAAGCCTTGGCCAGGCTGATGGGGTAGGAGGGAGGGAGATAAAAGGTTGCCCATCAGAAGAGTCCCAAGAGGGGCATGGAGGGCTCAGCTCCAGCTCCCCTCACCATGCCCAGTCATCAGCTGGGGGCAGCCCCAGTAGACGGTAGGTTTGGCATGACCTCCATAGCTGAAGACTGTCACCAATTACTCTCATAGCAAGTTCCCTGGAAGGACAGCTGAGTGGCACACCTCCATGGCCACCACAGGGTTTTCTGCCAACTATTCAATTTTTTTTTTTTTTTTGAGACAGAGTCTTACTCTGTGGCCAAGGCTGGAGTACAGTGGCATGATCTCGGCTCACTGCAACCTCTGCCTCCCTGGTTCAAGCGATTCTCCTGCGTCAGCCTCCCGAGTAGCTGGGATTACAGGCGCCCGCCACCATGCCTGGCTAATTCTTGTATTTTTAGTAGAGACAGGGTTTTGCCATGTTGGCCAGGGTGGTCTCAAACTCCTGACCTCAGGTGATCCGCCCGCCTCGGCCTCCCAAAGTGTTGGGATTATAGGCGTGAGCCACTGTGCCCGGCCTCAGTTTTGTACATTAGAGATAGTGGCACTTTAAAAACGGATATTTTCATTTATTAAGTAACAAAGGTCTCTTCTTGCCACATGTCTTTGCCAACACTTACTCAGTTTTGTACATTACAGAAAGTGACATTTTGAAAATGGATATTTTCATTTATAAGTAACAAGGTCTCTTCCTGCCCATGCTTAAATAAAACCAAAATAGGCACGAAAGGAAAAAGTAATACTTATTTTATGATACATGTTTGTTTTTTACAAAGAACTTTAATTTGAAAAACTGTCTACACTGATTTTTTCATTCAGTTTAATATTTAGAACGCATTTGAGGAACTTAGCACAAAAACAATGACGTTAATATTTTTATGTAATTCCTTAAACTTTCTGGTTTTGGTCTTCAATTAAATTTTCATCTCTCCAAAATGAAGGCATCCTTATAATAGTAAAGTATGTTAAAGCGTTTACTCAACTACTGCAATTTCAGTGTTAAAAGAATGAAGCAGTAAGGATCTATAAGTCTGCTTTTTTTTTTTTTTTAGCAAAACAGCTTTTGTTAAGTCATCCCTTTGCTTAGTTCTTTCCCCTCTGTGGATGAGAGTCACAGGCAGCACACCAAACTCACACGGCTCAGCAGATCTGAATCCCTAACAAAATCAGAACTGCCAAAGGACTCCCTATAAACCCTCCCAACCCACCGAACCTCCGAGGCCTGGGCGTGGCGACCTTAAAAATACCTTCTCCACAGTGACCAAGTAAGCACAGTGCAACTAAGATATCCACCAGTTTCGTATCTTACAGATACTTCTCGGCTCTTTATTCAAAACTCATTGTTACCCTCTTTCTGGCAACCACCAAGCATTTCTATCTGCAAAATGCACGTGTTAACTCTGCAGCCAGTAGAGGGAGACATTACTGCCTATGAATTAGTTTCTACCAGTTTTCGCTCAGTCTCAGCCTTCAAAACGGCTGGTGGTCTCAAAGTTGAAAATCTCCAGGTTGCAGATTCCTTTATTTCTCTTTTAAAAACTCACCTGCTGCATGAATAGCAGTCATTGTCATAAGTCAACATATGTGTGATTCCCAAAATTAGAACCATCAGAAAGTAGAATTGGCTTGCCAGGGGGAAAAGGTGGGGAGATGG
This sequence comes from Homo sapiens, assembly GCF_000001405.40. Classification (NCBI taxonomy): domain Eukaryota; kingdom Metazoa; phylum Chordata; class Mammalia; order Primates; family Hominidae; genus Homo; species Homo sapiens. The sequence continues at coordinate 237,124,819 of NC_000001.11, read as the reverse complement.
GATGGGGGTGGTCAGGCACAGCAATGCCCCCCGCGCCCCCCACCAAAAAAAAGGGCCCACATCATAATTTCTAGACCCTGTGAATGTTACCTTCCCTGTCAAGGGAGGGTTAAGGTTGCAGATAGAAGAAGCAGAAGACTTGTGGGTCAGCGTGATAGGATGTGAGAAAGACTCTACTAGCCATTGCTGGTCTTGAAGATGGAATGGCATGACCTCCATAGCTGGCCCCGGAATGCTAACAACCTCTAGGAACTGAAAAAGGCATGAAAACGGATTCTCTCCTAGAACCTTCAGAAAGAAATGTAGTTCTGCCAACACCTTGATTTTAGCCCACTGAGACCCTTTACAGACCTCTCAACTACAAAACTGTAAGATAATGTATTTGTGTTGCTTTCAGCCATGAAATATGTGTTAATGTATTATAGCAACAATAAAAAACTAACACAGTGGGCTCTCTGTTTCTGAAGGTAATCAAGCAGATACCGAATGGTCAACTGTGAAACTACTACAGAAGGGACCCCCGCACTCGGTGAGATGTTAGAATAGATGACCTCTACATGTCCTTCCTACACTAAGAGTCTATAAGCAACAATTCTTTTCCCTAATTCCTGGACATGTGATGGCTGACAGGCTTTGGGCAAATCATTGCAAAATGATCCATAAGCCAATGGCAAGATGCCAGCTTTTTTCATAATTATGACACTCACCGTAACCCTGTTCTCCAGCTATAAAATAGAAACTCTATCTCAAAGTATTTCACTTGACATCATTTAAAATGATGTAATATGAGATGATAACATAAAACAGTTTCTCCTTGGAAGAAAAGAGACAGCTATAGCATTAAACGTGTATTCAGTCTCTGCCAGAGCATTGCTTTAAAAATAGTGACTGTTGGGAGGCCGAGGCGGGTGGATCATGAGGTCAGGAGATCGAGACCATCCTGGCTAACAAGGTGAAACCCCGTCTCTACTAAAAATACAAAAAATTAGCCGGGCGCGGTGGCGGGCACCTGTAGTCCCAGCTACTCGGGAGGCTGAGGCAGGAGAATGGCGTGAACCCGGGAAGCGGAGCTTGCAGTGAGCCGAGATTGCACCACTGCAGTCCGCAGTCCGGCCTGGGCGACAGAGCGAGACTCCGTCTCAAAAAAAAAAAAAAAAAAAAAAAAAAAATAGTGACTGATAGGATCAAAGGAGAAAGTCTTCATCACTTTTTTGTTGTTATTTTTGTTGTTAAGAGAGAGGGCCCCACTCTGTCACCCAGATTTGAGCGCAGTGGCACAGTCGTAGCTCACTGTAACCTTGAACTCCTAGGCTCAAGTGATCCTCGCACCCCAGCCTCCTAGTAGCTGGGACTACAGACACGCACCACCACATCTAGCTAATTTTCCTATTTTTTTGTAGAGACTAGGTCTTGCTATGTTGCCTGAGCTGGTCTCAAACTCCTAGGCTCAAGTAATCCTCCAGCCTTGGCCTCCCAAAGTGCTGGGATTACAGGTATGAGCCACAGCACTCAGCTCTCATCAGTATTTTTAAATAAAAATAGGATAGAAGCAAATAAAGCAGAATAAATGAGAAAGCATCTTAGGGTAAGTATTGTTTCCTGAGTTTTTTGTTGCAGTTCTGTGTGGAGTATATGATATGTGCATACCCTGGAACACTATGAAAAATGTGGTTCTCACTATGGGCATCATCTCAAAAATTATAAAAGCCACTGTACTAGCAAGGACAGGAGCACATGGTTTAATACAAAACACACGCACACAAATTGCAAGACAGTGTTTAGCAGTTGCATAATACACAATCCACCCCTATAGCCTTTACATTTGCTAACTATATAACTTCAAGAAGATATACATGTCTTTTCATCTCAGAGTCCATGAAAATTTTATTGTAGCCCTTATATACATAAGGTTTTTAATTAAATAAATTTTTCTCAGAGAAAACATGTTAACCTTCAAGGAAATTATTTGAAAAGGTGGTGACACATTTACAAATAGCTTAAGTGTGTCTGCCATCACAAAAAGTAGTACCCTGGAGTACCTAACTAAAAGGAAGTTAGTTAACTGCTTCTCTTATCTTTTACTTAGGATCATAGAGTTTAAGTTTTGTTTGTTTGTTTGTTTGTTTGTTTGTTTGTTTTTGAGACGGTCTTGCTCTGTTGCCCAGGCTGGAGTGCAGTGGCGCGATCTCAGCTCACTGCAATCTCCACCTCCTAGGTTCAAGCGATTCTTGTGCCTCAGCCTCCCAAGTAGCTGGGATTACAGGCGTAGGCCACCACGCCTGGCTGATTGTTCTATTTTTAGTAGAAACGGGGTTTCACCATGTTGGCCAGGCTGGTCTCAAACTCCTGGCCTCAAGTGATCCCCCCGCCTCGACCTCCCAAGGTGCTGGGATTACAGGCATGAGCCACCATGGCTGGCCAGAGTTTGCTAAGTCTTTATTCATCCCATGTAAGCCATCATTTTTCTGCATGTTCCCTTTTAACACTCATCTTTTGCAAAGGAAACATTGTACTTCTGTTAAGTCTGTCCTTACTGAGGAACCCTCTTTTCACTTCAAATCAGCAAGCGGTCGATGTGGAGGGACTTCACCACTGATGTGGCGCATCCCGGTGGGTTGCTTCCCTCTTAACTGGATCATTCCCCTCGGCATCCCCGGCCTCCAACCGCAACCCCAATGTTCTGCTAACTAACATTTAAGTAACTCTACATTTTCCACAAATTTTATAAGCCTATTATCTATGGTCCTTATTCAGGACACTGATAAAAAATGTTGAGCCCAAAACAGGTAAGGCAGGTGTTCCTCAAGGGTGACCTCTACTCTCAAATCACCAACCAGTATTTTCAGGAATCAGCCACTGAGCTAATTGTGTCTCCACATCAATGAACCATCATCCATTGTCTGTTTTCCTGCATTTCACACTTAATTTCCATAAGGATACTAAGAGAGACTTTATCAAATACACCACATCTAAATTTTTATATCCCATATCTACAACATTCCACTAATGCTTCTAGCATAGTGATGCTATTTACAAACCCACGAGGTCACCCGCCATGCCTGCCCCAAGGAACCCATGGTGGCCTCCGTTTCTCACAGAACATATACTTGACTATCAGTCTAGGGTGTCACCTGGGACTGAGATCAGAAACACCAATCTACAGCTACTAGAATTCGGATCTCTGCCTCTATTACATCTCCCTCTTTCTCTACAGCTCCTCAATGGCTAATGACAATGGTCCAGCAATGTCTTCTAATAATTTGGGGAAAATCCTAGGAAATGATTAATCTGGATCAGGAAACCAACTGATTTGGAGTTTACCGTTTCCTAACTTTTCTTGGAAATTATCTTAAAATTCTCTTGCAAATACATTTTTACTGTAAACAGCTTTCTCCTCGATCAAGAAAACAGGAGGTAAAAGGAGTTGAGTGCTCTCTCTTTTTATCTGAATGGAAGAATTTTTTGGAAAGTGCCAGCCACCGTGCTTGGCACTAAGCTGGTAGTCAAAAACACTTGCTTTCTTCCTTTCCCCGTTTCATCAGAAGCCTAAGTAAGGCTTTTTCATTTTTCTCCTTGACCTAAATGTAACTTTAAAAACATGGTGTATGCCGATTTGTCTGCATTTTGCAAACTGCATAAGCCTCACCTCCTTGGATAGTTATCATTTCTGTTGCCACCCTTTCCAGTCAGCACCATACCTTCTAAACACCACCTGAAACCACCTACAGTGGTCTCACTAACTAAAGATGTACACACACACACATGTGCACACACACACACACACACACAGCATTTTAAACCTGTAGTTGGGGGTTCCAGCAGAAGAAGGAAGTTCCTCCCATTTCTTTTCCTGGAGAGCTGCCCTCCTCTGTCGAGGAAGGTCATTCTCTTGGATGCAACCCACAGCCTCAGGAGGGAGGCACATGGCATGAGGGGAGAGATGGAGCACAGGTCTCCAGACACCTGGCAGCCAGCGGGGCCACAGATGTACCACACAGATTGCTCCCACAGCCGCTCAGAGCTCCATTTTGAAAAGCCCTTATTCATCCTTTACCATTACATATCCTAGAGAGCTATGTCAGGGGAAAACCGCCACCACCATAATACAAAGCGATACAAAGCCCCACAAAGCACATTTCAGCCTCACCACAAACCTAGGAGGGTAGGTTCGACTATTGTTGATACTTTACCAATGAGGAGAGAGAGGCTTGAGGAACTTAAGAGACTTTCCTTAGGCCACAAAGCTACTTAGTGGAAGAGCTGGACGGAAACCAAGATCATACCCATCTTGACTCTGCACATTTTATCGTCACCATTTATTGATCACTTAGAAAATTCTGGGCCCCTATTAAATACTTCCCAGGCATTGTCTCTTTTCAGACTCAGAACAGCTTTGCATTTTAACGATGAGCCAGCTTCATTAAATTTACCATATTTCTGACACAAATTCAAGTGGAGCTAAATAGTCCAGAATTGTTGGAATTCAAAGTGCATTTCCTAGCCACTATAATTCCTAAAGTACAATTTGATGGGATGCTTAATAATGTAGGAAGAGTTGCTCACATTTATCAGGCACTTACCGTGTGTCAGGCCACGTGACATAAACAATACATTACCTCATTAATCTTCTCAAAACCCCTGATAAAAAAAAATGACTATTAAACCATTTTATAGATAATGAAACTGAGGGTCAGGAAGCTGACAAATTTGCTAAGTGATATAAAGCAAACTGAGGAGACAGGAGTTAAAACCCAGTGGTCTGACTCCAGAGATCATAAAATAAACATCACATGGTACCACCTCGGCTTTTTAAAACAACCTCCTGTCTACATGACCCAAAAACATTTGCCTGTGCTCTCGGACAGAAAGGTGATTGCTGTGTCCTTTAATCTAAAAAAGTTAGGGATAACTCGTTTATCACTTAATTGCATGAATGTTGTAACTAAAGACCAAAGCTGAAGAAAAGTGATCAGAGATGAGATGCAGTGATTGAAGGTCAAGGCAGAGATGTGGTATCAATACCAAGACCTTCCCATCCAGGTGAAAGGCTTTCCCCCAGGTCTCCCTGGCACCGAAAGGCAATGGAAGGCAGGTCCTCCACTTTAGTAGAGACTGTTCCTGTGGTCCTGACTTCTGCATTTATATTTGATAGGCTGAAGAGTGCCATGGCCATGAGACCAGCTACCACTTCCTTCCATTCATCCGATGTGATCCTCCAAACAAACTGGCCATCGTAGGAGAGATGGACCCAAGGAACCTGAACGGCCCATCTGACACTGCACCTGGATATCTGTCTCTGGACACCTGGGGCCCAGTGTGCCATGACCAACTCAAGCATTCAGATGCTGGCGCAGGTGCACCAAGATGAGAGCATACGCACACACACGCACACACATGCACACACACACATGCAGTTTTCCCAATTACTGTAGCAGTTTGCTCTGACCATCTTAACCAAGTACCACAGACTGACTGACTTAATAGGAACGTCTTGTCTCACAGTCCTGGAGGCTGGACATCTGAGATGAAGTGTTGGCAGGAGTGGTTTCTTCTGGAAGCCCTTCCTTGGCAGGCAGATGGCTGTCTACTCCCCGTGTCCTCATACAGCCTTGCCTCTGTGCACACACCCTCCCGGTGTCTCTTCCTCATCTTCTAAGGACACCAGTCTATTGGATTAAGACCCAACCTAATGACCTCACTTTAACTTCATTACCTCTTTAAAGACCCCATCTGCAATCACAGGCACATTCTAAGGTACTAGGGGGTTAGGGCTTCAACTTATGAATTTTGGAAGAACATCATTCAGCCCATACCCCCCACATTAGAAATAGACTTCTTCACCCAGTCAGAATGGTTTCATTCTAAAATTCATTTTTTTTGCACAAGGGGTTTTTCCTTTTTCACGTGAATTAGGTCTTTTAAAAAAAAAAGACTAAGTAGTTCCGGTTTCTTTAAATATTGAACCATAACTATTAGAATAATATTGTTAAAATATTGTTAATAAGGAGAATAGGAAAATCTTTATAAAAGATGTAACTAAACATGGTATCACTACAGGCGTGGTGGTCCATGCCTGTAGTCCCAGCTACTCGGGAGGCTGAGGCAGGAGAATCGCTTGAATCCGGGAGGCGGAGGTTGCAGTGAGCCAAATCATGCCACTGCACTCCAGCCTGGGTGACAAGAGCAAAACTCCATCTCAAAAAAGAACAAACAAACAAACAAAAACAAACAAACAATAACTCCCTATTTTCCCTCCCAGCAGCTCCTGGTGACCACCATTCTACCGTTGTCTCTGTGCACTTGACTATAGACTATTTCTGAATAGCTACTGAGCCTACCCTTGAAGGTAGTAACCATGAAAAATTGTACTTGTGTTTCCCCAGTACCAAGCACAGAATCTAGTATGGAGTTGTGGCAGGTTACTGCATGATGAAAACGGCAGTTGCTTTACTTTATCTAGCAAACGTCTGTGGCTGCCATAATGACTACAGTTGTCACATGGGATACAGAAAAGGACTTTCTGTAAGGTGAGTGGGAAGAACTATCATTTTTTATGGTGTACCTCAAGTTTCAGATGTACCTGAAAAACTCCAATTCTCCAAAAAAAAATTCTCAAAGACGTAATAAATTTCAATCAATTTCAATTTAAAATGTACCTATGTATGTATATATCCCTTCAATTTCTTTTGAAATGGGAGAAAGGATATTTGCAGGTATTTGTGTACATGTTGCAAAACCACAAAGTTTGAAAATTGAAAATTGATTGAAACAATCAGCTGGGCTCAGTGGCTCACGCCTGTAATCCCAACACTTTGGGAGGCTGAGGAGAATGGATCACCTGAGGTCAGGAATTCGAGGCCAGCCTGGCCAACATGGCGAAACCCTGTCTCTACTAAAAATACAAAAAATTAGTGAGGCGTGGTGGTGCATGCCTGTAACCCAGCTACTTGGGAGGCTGAGGCAGGAGAATCATTTGAACCCAGGAGGGAGAGCTTGCAGTGAGCCGAGATTGTGCCATTGCACTCCAGCCTGGGCAACAGAGGGAGACTCTGTCTCAGAACAGAGAAGAGAAGAGAAGAGAAGAGAAGAGAAGAGAAGAGAAGAGAAGAGAAGAGAAGAGAAGAGAAGAGAAGAGAAGAGAAGAGAAGGAAGAGAAGAGAAGAGGAGAAAAGAGAAGAGAAAGAAGAGAAGAGAGAAAAGAGAAGAGAAAGAAGAGAAGAGAAAAAAGAAGAGAAAAGAAAAGTCAATCAATCATGGACTCTAACTCCTCCTAATGATGGCCAGTATCTCAGTCCAGGGCATGAAGCCTCATTTCAGGAATCCAGAAATACCCAATTGAGGCAGACAATCAAAGAGAAAAAAAATGAGTCCCTTTACCTAACTTGTCCATCCTCCAAATTACGACCATATTTATATGGTATACAACATGACATTTTCCTCTGTTTATAAACCTCCACTGACCTCCCCACCTAGAGAAATGGGTCAGAATCCCTTAGCGTAATGGAGAAGGTCTTTCGTGACCTGGGCCTTATCCCCCACTCCCACCATGTCCCCCATCCTGCCCAAACAATACCTCATCTTCTACTGTACTTCTCACTGTTGTCTAAAATTTTCAAGTAAGTTTCTCTACTTTTGCATTTGCTATCCTGTCTTCCTTCTCCATCATCTTTTTTATTTAAGAAGCTTCTACTTGCCCTCAAAGACACAGCCTTCCATGACACAGGCCTTTCTCAACCCACACACACCAAGGTTATTGCTTCCTGGTCCATGAGCTCAGACCATTAGCTCACACCTCTACTGTCAGTGTGATGGTTAACTTTACATGTCAACTTGACTGGACCACAGGATGCCCAGATTAAACACGATTTCTGGGTGTGTCTGTATGGGTGTTTCCAGATTAGATTAGCATGTGAATTGGTGAACTCAGTAAAGGAGACTGCCCTACCTAATGTGGGTGGGCATCAGCCAATCCATTCAGGGCCTGAATAGAACAAAATGCAGAGGAAGGAATCTGCCCCCTTGTGTTCTCTGCCTCACTGCTTGAGCTACGACATCTCACTTCATCTTCTCTAGCCCCTGGACTGGGATTTACACTATCAGCTCCCCTGGTTCTCAGCTTCTCTTCAGACTCCAACTGAATTATTATATATATCACCAGCCTTCCTGGGTCTCCAGCTTGCAGATGGCAGATCCTCCATAATCATGTGAGCCCATTTCTCATAATAAATAAATATAGTAAATAGTAAATTATATATGTGTATGTGTATGTATATATGTGTGTACATGTGTATAAATATATATATTTGTGTGTGTGTAAGCAAATAGATATAATTGCTTCTGTTTCAATTGCTTCTGATTCTCTGGAGAACCCTGACTAATATAAGAGTACCTCCTATTATGTCTGCCTCCTGCATGAGACGAGAACATCCTGGAAGGCAGGCAAGGTGTCTTAGCCAGCTGTGACTCTCCAATGCCTGACCACAGTTTCTGGCACAGAGTAAATCCTTAAATGAAGAAAGGACAGGAACAAATCTCCCAGCTGTCTCGGCTCCCCTTGGATAGCAACAGTCCATGCAAGGTAGGTAAGTGGTTGGGCAAGTCGTTCAGCCTGGTTCCCCTTCCCCTTCTGCAAAACAAGGACAAGATGGCACCTGCTCTCCCCTCCCTGCAGGGATTCACAAGGATCCACAAAGAAGGCTCGCAAAGCCACTCAGAAAGAATTACAATTCTTAAATAAAAGATATTCAGATTCTAATATCATAATTTCAGCCTTGAAAATCACCTGAAATCATCTTTCAACCCTATTAATTCTTCTCATAGTTTTCTCCTTTTTCCTTATGGGTCCACACATTCTTTCATATTTCAGCCATTTGATAAGAAAACACAAGAAATGTATTGTTCAGAGTAAGGAATTAAACAATCCACTAAGACCAAATAGGGCAATTTGTTAACATCACTATCATTTGCAATCTTCCTAGATAGAGTAAATTATTTAAAAGATTTTTAAAACTTTGCAGCAAAGTTTCAAACTTCATTAAGTGAACGTTGCAGTTTTTGAGGAGAACATTTCACACCTACAAAAGAACTAAGGCCTACAAGTTTGTTCTCACCCAGAGGCACGGATACCTTCACGCGTCTATTTTGAAATCAGAGCTGACTTCCACTGTTTGGGGCTTCATCACATTGTCTGTGTGAAAATGAACCTTTGTCTTTGGTAGTAATTATAACTAAAATCAACTTCATTTCCAACAAGGAGAACATGTTCTTCCTCAAAAAGAAAATTTTCCATCACACTCTCTTAAAAAAATGCTTCACAAAACACTTGCCATTGTTTCCTTTGCAACCGCCTTGATTACTCCTTTGTGTTGGAATCAAGCTGATCTGGGGTTCTTAAGGGTTTCCAGGAATTAGCCTTGCTGTGTGAGGGCTGCTCTCTGCAGTCCTTATGGATCCGGAGAGGGAAGAGGGATTTTCCTCCAAGCCTATCAAAGACCGTGCTTCTTGTACAATGGATGGTCTCTGGGAAGGAGTGGTCCAGCCCCAAGAGCAGGGGCTGCCAACTGGCCCAGAGCAAGGGGGGGGGTGTGGTTTCCACGAAGGCGTGGCCTCTAGAAGGGTGTGGCCTCTTGGAGGGTGTGGTCTCTGGAGGCGTGGTCTCCAGAGTCCAGACACTGCCCCTCCCAGCAGCCAGCAAAGGTACCGACAGATAGCCTGGGGTCTTCACTTCACTTCCCTCCCAACTATTGCCTGGCCATCCTTCCTTCCCCTCCTCCTTGCAATTTGGACCTCAAAGGTCTGGAAACCTCCCTCAAGTCCTATACTTGGTGATGACTACCTTGCTCCTCCCAATTTCCTGGATAATCTTTACAACAAACGAGTCCCCAGTTGAGTGCATGTTCAGTCATCACATTCTGCTAAAGATGTGCCTTCACTGGTATTGACTCAAGTAATGCTCCAAATAACCCTACAAGGCCAATACTACCACACATCCCATTGTACAGATTAAGCAGCAGGATCAGAGAGGTTGAGTAACTTGCCCAAGGTCAGTACACTAGTTAAAAGGTGGTAGGGCTGGGATGTGAAGCCAGGCAGTCTAGCTCCAGAGCATGGGTTTTTAGCCTCTAGGCTACAGCCCCTTCCCCCATTATTTTCCTAAATTAAATTTCTCAGTGGAGTCATGCTCTATCCCCTAGGTCTTCTTCCCTCAAGAGTATGATTTCTAAAAGGATTTCCTGGAGTGAGGTAAATGGAAGAGTAGCAGCTTTAAAATCGAAGTATTTCCAAGCTTCTGACAGGGTCCAAGCTCTAAAGTGTCTGAATTCAAATATTTTATACTGTACTCTTCCACTCTGAAATACAAACTTCTTTAATTCAGTGTTACTTGCTAAGGTGAAGATGTCATGTCCATTTCATCACCTTCAAAAGCCTTAATGTGACACAATGTCTTGTCAATAAAAATGTTATGCAAAATTTTATTTGCAAGGCTAAAATTTTAGAGAAAAGATATTACACATATCAAATTTAACAGGGTTTTCAATAAGTAGGAAGAAAAAAGGATTTGGTGGCATCTGGGCCAATCCTAGTAATATTGACCAGGCCAAGTGTGTCCTTGGGAATCCCTGGTTCTTTGACTTTTCTCTACTCTCTAATCCCCGTGAAAATGACTAACCAGAAAAAATCACTTCCATATGGTTTGATATAAACTTATACCAGTTGGATTATTATTTTTCCCTGGGACATCTATATTTTCACGAAATGAAAGTCTCTGCACCCTTTCTAAAGAAATGCCCAGGTGACCATGTACTAGTGGCACAAAGAGCTGAGAGAATAAAAGGCAAGTTGCGTGCATGTTGGAGCGACGTCATGTCAAGACCACCTGTTCTGCCGGAGTCTAAGCAGGGTCCGTGCTGAGTTCTTCATTTCCTTCACTTCAACACTTAAAGAAAAGTTCAGTGCTACAGTTTTATTCTTGTGTGATCTTTAAAAATACTGCACTCAGAGATGTTTAAATAAATGTGATCTAAGTTCATCTCTCTAACACCCAATAGGTGTGAGCCTGCTGAATTCCACCTTGTAGCTCTCTATCCCTTTGCTTGGAAAATTCTGGTTCTTATCTCTTTTCTCACAAGTGTACTATGTGGATTTTTTACACTATTTCATGGCAGTCTGTTCCTCACACATTGATGATGTACCCACTCCCTGGGCCAGGAATTGTGCAAGGAGCTGTGGATTGCAAAAACTAGTATGACATGATTTTGACCTCCAGGGAAGTGACATGCCCTTAAAGGACAATGGGACAGAGTCTTCTAAAAGAGAGGCCGGCTGGACACGATGGCTCATGCCTGTAATCTCAGTACTTTGGAGGCTGAGGCAGGTGGATCATCTGAGGTCAGGAGTTCGAGACCAGCCTGGTCAACATGGTGAAAACTCATCTCTACTAAAAATACAAAAAAATTAGCCAAGCATGGTGGCGCACACCTGTAATCCCAGCTACTCAGGGGGCTGAGGCAGGAGAATTGCTTGAACCCAGGAGGCAGAGGTTACAGTGAGCCGAGATCATGCCACTGCACCCCAGTCTGGGCGACAGAGTGAGATTCCATCTCAAAAAATAAAAATAAAAATAAAAATAAAATAAAATAAATAAAAGAGAGGCCAACAATATCCTATGGCCAGATGGAGGGGAAAAAAGCCCCCTTTCTGAATTTATGAAAACCGAACCTCAGAAACCATTTTTGGCTAAAGAGCTGGGTTTTGTTCTCAATTCCTACTGAGGATCATGTCTTGGATGCAGAAAGGAGAAGGAGCACACTGCTGGTACATGTGAACAGAGTCCCCGTTGAGGTTCCGTGAAGCTTATTTAATAAATAGTTATATGACGCCAGGGCTCTGCAAGGTAGGGCACTTAGGGATAAAAAAGCAAACAACCGAGATACAGGATTAAGGATAAATCAGCTGAATACAAGAATGACAGCAAATTACATGATGGAGCATAAACCAAATAGGAGCCAGAAACAGTTGTTATTTTAAAAGTCAGGAAGAATCATGATCCCCATTCCTAAGAGGCTTACATCCTCATGGGGAGATAAATCAAACAAAAGTGGAGCCCTAAAAACATAAAACCATAATTATTACTATATGTGGGCTGGAAAGGTGGGCCTGGATCAGAGCAAAAAAGCATCAAGTCGTTTAATCCTAGAAATTTGCCTGGAAGGGGAGAGCCATTAGCTAATTTTTTTTTTTTTTTTTTTGATGTTGTAGCTTAGAAAGAAGAGGTAGGGGGAAGTTCTCCTCCCTGCCTAAAGGGTAGCCTGGGCAAAAATTTCTTTAACAGAAAAGGTAAACAAAATAAAAATGGGAATCATGAGGCCAGCTAACTAAAGAGCAGAGAGATAAAAAGAGAGGAGGGGGCCGGGCACGGTGGCTCACGCCTGTAATCCCAGCACTCTGGGAGGCCGAGGCGGGCGGATCACCTGAGGTCAGGAGTTCGAGACCAGCCTGACCAACATGGTGAAACCCCATCTCTACTAAAATACAAAAAATTAGCCAGGCGTGGTGGTGGACGCTTGTAATCCCAGCTACTCAGGAGGCTGAGGCAGGAGAATCGCTTGAACCCGGGAAGCGGAGGTCACAGTGTGTTGAGATTGCACCGTTGCACCTAGCCTGGACAACAAAAGCAAAACTCCATCTCAAACAAACAAACAAAAGAGTAGGGGAAGTAGCAAAAACATCCAGTGATGGAGGGGGAACTTACCTACTCTCCTCTATTTGCATACTATCTCATTTAATCCTCCAACTACCCACTAGGGTGCACTCACCCACCACCCACCCCCAACCAATGACAGCTGCTGGGCATGGGCTGCCACTGGGGTGCCAAACAGACAAGGTACCTGCTTTCCAAGGGCTTACAGTGGAGTAAATTACATTTTGTCCTTCTGCCAGTTCTCTAGCTCAGAGAGGTACAATCCTCCAACTTGCCAGAGGTCCTCCCTGCACTAGAACCCTCAAGGAGCAGAATCAGGGCAGGAGCCAGACAGGTTTGTCTGACCTCCAAATCTCAGAGCTTTCTGTTACCCTTGCAGGATAGGCAAAAATGAGCAAAAACTAAAGAGAATCCCAAAGATGGCAAAGATTTCCACTGGATATTTTCTTTTGCCATTTCCATTTACTATCCTGAAGCACACTTCACACTCAGAACTTCAAATGTGCCTTTTTTTTTTTTTTTTTTTTTTAAAGAGACGGAGTCTCATTCTGTCACCCAGGCTAGAGTGCAGCGGCACGACCTCAGCTCACTGCAACCTCCGCCTCCCAGGTTCAAGCGATTCTCCTCCCACAGTCTCCTGAGTAGCTGGGACAACAGGCACCTGCCACCGCGCCCGGCTAATTTTTGTATTTTTGGTAGAGACAGGGTTTCGCCATGTTGGCCAGGCTGGTCTTGAACTCCTGACCTCAAGTGATCCACCTGCCTTGGCCTCCCAATAAGGGTATTGTGAGAAATTGGCAGGGAGGGGAAAGGAATGAATTATAATCATTTCCTCTTCTCCACCCTCTTCTACTCTTGAGGGAAAGAAGAGCAAAATGTAACTGTTGGAAGAGGCAATGGTACAAATACTCCAACAAGCACAGTGCTGTGAATGTCCTCTGAACCAAAAATGTTTCCCTTTCTTAGAGCAGCTCGATACAGCAGTGTCAACAATGTTACCAAACAGATATTCATTTACTTGGTCCAACCTCGAAGCATCCTCACAAAGGACCCAATTGCTCTTCAGAAGGATGTTGAAGCTAGAGAGAAGGAAGACCAGTGGCCCAGTACCAGAGGCTCCAAGCCTGAGACCTGGCATCGTGCTTGACCTTGAAAATGTCATTGAATTCTTGAGTCTCATTAAAGGGGGACTTCACAATTGACCTCACAGGGTTGTGGTAGAGATTAAATAACAAATACAAGCACCTTGCAGCAAAGTGGCTGGTCCCCCAGAAATATGCAAATGTTAGTTGATGCCAAATAGAATATTTCAGTTTGAATTAACCAAAGAGAATGTTTCAGTCCACAGCAGGAGGTTTCAGAGCATTGGTACCCCGAGGGAGAAATGAAGCTGAGATGACGCAGAAGAGTAGAGGAACAGTGCCTACCTGGAAGATAGCAGGTGTGCCCCTACCTGAGACAAATTTGCCAGCTTTGCCTAGAGCGAGAGTTCTCAAAGTGCAGACTCCAAACCAGAGGCATCAGCATCCCTTGGGAACTTAGGGACGTGGATGAAACTGGAAACCATCATTCTCAGCAAACTATCGAAAGGACAAAAAACCATACACCGCATGTTCTCACTCATAGGTGGGAATTGAACAATGAGAACACATGGACACAGGAAGGGGAACATCACACTTCGGGGACTGTTGTGGGATGGGGGGAGGGGGGAGGGATAGCATTAGGAGATATACCTAATGCTAAATGACGAGTTAATGGGTGCAGCACACCAGCATGACACATGTATACATATGTAACTAACCTGCACATTGTGCACATGTACCCTAAAACTTTTAAAAAAAGAAAAAAAAAATGCCCATTTTCAGGCCCCACCTCAGACCCACCTAATCAGAAACTCTGGGGCCAGAGCCCAGCAATCTGCGTTTTAACAAGCTTTCCAGGGGATTCAGATGCACACTCAAGTTTAAGAACTTGAGTAAAAATTAAGTGAGTAAAAGTCAGCAGTAGAGAAAACTTAACTCTATGGGCCTATCATTCCACAAAGAAAATTCATACCAGGATATGGCACAACCCAACATTTCCACGGTTAGAAAGTGGGGCCGGGGGATTAGAATTTCACAGCTTAGCATAGGGGGTACAACTGACAGCACCTTACTGGCCCTGTGTCTGTCTTGTGACCAAGCTGTGGCACCTGTTATTTTGGGCAGTTTTCTCGGTGCACAAAGCCAGGTCATACGCTCAGTGAACATTGCTGAACACCATGAAGGTGACATTTAAAGCAAAAAGGCCCTCACAGAGGTAATCTTCCTTGGAAAATATCAGTAGTCAGGTTGGCAATCATGTAAATTTCCGTTTCCCCTACCTATCCCAGGAAATTATTATTATTATTTTTTTTTTTGAGACGGAGTCTCGCTCTGTCGCCCAGGCTGGAGTGCAGTGTCAGCAAATATTTTTTAAATTTCTGAAATCAATCACATTGCACTGCTGCTGCAGGACACTGCAGAGAGGAGATGCTGCCCATGCACCACCCACAGGCTGCAGGGGCCTCCTCCTGCCCAGGCCCATCACCGAGGCCCTTCGGGAGATTCAGTAGCCTCTATGTGTTGGTGGTTTTAGGGATGGAAAGCATAGATAATCAGATATTGCTCTTAGATTTTCCAAAACAGACAGCTAATGTCACACACAAAAGTCAATGCAAAAAATCTTCCTTTCAAAGCAATTTTCTCTCCATGCCTGAATTTAACTGCATATTCTTTGCCAACTTAAAAAAAAAACCAGCTTTACCATCTTCTAAGATTATATTTCTCAATTTCAAAAAATATAAACTGGAAGCATTCATGGGACTTCCCTGTACATTTTTCTTTGCAACCTATGACTGTAATTATTTCAAAATAAAATACATATATTTTATATATACATATATGTATTTTACATATGTATATGTATATATGTATTTTATATATACACATTTATGTATGTATTTGTGAATATATACACAGATGGTTAGGTTTTACCCTGGTTATTCCGGTTATGTTCGGCTAGGTTAGGTTTCACACTGGTTATTCTGTTGAACACACATATACATAGACACAAAGGCAAGAATCCCAAGCCCTGACTTCAAAATTAAACCCATTTGCTCATGTTCATGTAAAGAGTGATATTGAAGTGTGCTCACAATGAAAATAAACTAGTGAAGCAGTTCCTTGTCTAATCACACACCCAGCTGCTCTTAGGAGCCAGTACCCCAAAACACAGAAGCTGAGCTTGCTCAGAAATACCAAAAGTGCAAAACTGGAACGCTGGTGGAAAGCACAGACAAGAGACAACATTGCAGGCTTCCTAAGACCCACTTCCCAGACTTTCCTGATCATGCAAATCACCTGGGGTGTGTAAAAGAGATGCTTTTTCCCATTCCTGATTGCCAGGAGGAGGGACTCTCCTCCACCCTGCAGCCTCCACGCCCCTACACACTCCCGGCCTCTCTCAGCCCTCTCTACTTCCTATGTGCCTCAGGAGAAATAATTTCGACTGATAGATTTAAGAGAATCCCAGAGCTCTGCTCAGCGCAGCTCAGCCCTGTTCTCTGTTTTGGTTGTGAGCTTCTGCAGGCTGCAAGGTTCTGTTGCTGCTCCAGCGGCCCTGCTCCCAGGGAGGCCTCTGCGGTACATCAGCCTCATTCCAGGAATTCAATTAGCAGGCCTACTGGGCTAGCTGACTTAACGCAGCATCCTCCAGCCAAGCCTCTATGAGGACATTTTGACCTCTCATTTGTCCTAGTCATTGTTTTTGTCTCAATTCATTCAGAAGCTGGGCAGGAAAGGGGAGTATCATATACTGGGCCCCTCCGATCCCTCCAACAGGTGTAGCCTCACAACCCAGATTCCCAGGCCCCTCTCCTGGAGGTTCTGGGTCGCTAAGTCTAAATCAGTGCTTGATGCTTAGGCAAGGAGCCCAGGAGATTCTTATTCCCTGGAAAATTTGGGAAATGCTACCCTAAAGAATATTCTAGGATCATGTTCCCTGTTATGCAAAGTTGAGGCATACATGAACCAGCTTCCACAGAGGTTTCCAGCACCACCAGGAAGGTTAGCTCTAATTACTCCCACAGGGGACATGAGAGAAACCGTGAGCTCAGGACCGGAACCTTTTTACCAGGAGGTAAAACAGCCCCACAAAGGAGTAGAGGCTTTTCAACAATGCCTCAAGAAAAATAAAGGAAGATGAGGGCATGTGAAGCCCAGGGGAACCCCAGGGAAGGAGGGAGGAGCCCAGCCTGTGCAGGGGAGGTGGATGCCACACGTGTGACGTGCTTCTGGAAAGAACTAAGGCTGCAGGACACCGTGAATCTGGAAGGGAATGCCCCAAAGCATCTTCCACCTCAAGTGTCCAGACGTTTCCTACACCTTTGTGACCACACAAGATCCTGAGTGGACTCAGAGGCATCTTCCACGGGAGATGGAAGTCACCAACTCTGAGCCAGGAATCGGAAGCTTCACATCTATTACCTATAATAGAGCAAGGTAAATGTAAAAGCAACTTGGTAAAACTAAAGCTGCAGAGAAGTGAGAACCTACAATGTTTCCTTTTTTTTTTTTTTTTTGAGATGGAGTCTCACTCTGTCTCCCAGGCTGGAGTGCAGTGGTGCGATCTCGGCTCACTGCAAACTCCACCTCTGGGTTCACGCCATTCTCCTGCCTCAGCCTCCTGAGTAGCTGGGACTACAGGCGCCCGCCACCACGTCCAGCTAATTTTTTGTATTTTTAGTAGAGACGGGGTTTCACCGTGTTAGCCAGGATGGTCTCGATCTCCTGACCTCGTGATCCGCCCGCCTCAGCCTCCCAGAACCTACAATGTTTTCTATTAAGCAAGAACTCCTAAGTGGGGCTCATAGTACAGCATCTATAACTTCTAAGTTAAGATATATAAAGTATATGTTGTCCATTGATGTTTTGATGTCATTGTTTAATGTGTTGGTCTATTTTATTTTAGTAAACATAATAATGCTTATAAGACTTTTATTGGTTCATCCTTCTTTAGCCCTCCAGCCTTTTATTTCCCCCATATGGCCTTAGATTTCTTAATCCAAATTAACCTCCCTTTGTGTTACAGACTAAATGTTTATGTCCCTCAGTCCCCCCAAAATCATATGTTAAAATCTTAACCCCAAATGTAATGGCATTAGGAGGCGGGGCCTTGGGAGGTGATTACTGCCCTTTACAAAGGGACTTCAGAGAGCTCCTTTGTCCCTTCTACACGTGACAACACAGCAAGAAGACAGCCGCCTATGAACCAGGAAGCGAGCCTTCACCAGACACCAAATTGCTGGCACTCTGATCTTGGGCTTCCCAGCATCCAGAACTGTGAGGAATAATTTCTGTGGTTTCTAAGCCTCCCAGTCCATGGCATTTTGTTATAGCAGCCCAAATGGACGAAGGTGCCATGTCTGAAAAAGGGACACTGTATACACATCACACTGAGAAATCCATTTTTTCAAGGACAGTTTCAGCCCTCTCTCCAGAAGTCCACACTAACCACCTCCCAGCAGCTCCACGACTCTCTGACAGACAGCGAAAACCCCCACATTTCCAGAATGAAACTCTTGATCTTCACTCTTTCCAGGACCGCTCCATCTTAGCTGGTGAAACATCATCTGTCTGCCAGAAACCTTGGGATGATCCGGACTCCCCTTCTCTCTCTCAACCCTCATCAGAACCATGAGGAAATCCTCCTGGCTCTATGTCCAAAAAAATATCCAGGGTCCTGCTGCTCGGTGCCACCTCCCCCTGCTGCCACCGTGCTGCAAGCCACATCAGAGCCTGTCTGCAGCCCAGCGGGAGCTGGTGCAGGGGAGCTGTTCTCCCTGCCCACCCCTGTTTACCAGGAACATCTATTCTCAACACAGTGGCCAGACGGGTCTTTTCAGAATGAAAATCAGAACGAGCTACCCCTCAGCTCAAAGGATTGCAATGACTCCCATATGGCTAAAAGTAATAGCAAGAGCCCAGTCCTCTCAACAGCCCTCAAGGCCTCCTCCACCTGCCCGGCCCACACCCGCAGCCCCTCTGGCCTCCCCACCACTGTGCCCCAGTCCTGCTGCACACTCTGTTCCTTAGAGTCTCCAGGCACACTCCCACGTTGGTGCTGGCACTGGCTGCTCCCTCTGCCTGGAAGCCCATGAACTAACTCCCCTGCTATCTTCAAGCTGCTCAACTGCTACTATCTCAAAGAGACCCACTCTGATAACTATGTTTTTTGTTTGGATTTTTTTTTTTTTTTTTTTTTTTTGAGACAGAGTCTCGCTTTGTCGCCCAGGCTGGAGTGCAGTGGCGCAATCTCAGCTCACTGCAACCTCCCACCTCCTGGGTTCAAGCGATTCTTGTGCTTCAGCCTCCCAAGTAGTTGGGACTACAGCTGCCAATTTTTGTATTGCTGGCTAATTTCTGTATTTTTAGTAGGGACAGTGTTTTACCATGTTGACCAGGCTGGTCTCGATCTCCTGACCTCAAGTGATCTGTCCGTCTCAGCCTCCCGAAGTGCTGGGATTACAGGCATGAGCCACTGTGCCCAGCTAATTTTTGTATTTTTAGTAGAGACAGGTTTTCACCATGTTGGCCAGGCTGGTCTCAAACTCCTGACTTCAAGTGACCTGCCCGTCTTGGCCTTCCAAAATGCTGGGATTACAGGTGTAAGCCATTGTGCCCAGCCTGATAACTACATTTAAAATCACCACTCATTCCCTCCATCACCCCCTTATCCTGTTCTACTCTCATTTTCCCCCAGAGTACTTACGATCTTCTAACATGCAATGCAATTCATTTAATATGATTGTTTTTCAACAGGTCTTCCCCACCAGACTCTCAGCCCCATGAGGGCTGAGTATTTGTTTAACAGCATATTTCGGGCACCTAGAAGAGTGTGTGGAATACAGTCGGTGCTCAATAAAATTTCAGCCTTCCCCAAACGTAAGGTGAACAAAGCAGCTGGGCTAGCTCAGGGTTCAACCAGCCGTGTTTGCCGGCACTGAGACTCATGTCAGGAAGGGGGAGGACTCACAAGATGTGAGCAGCACCCCTTATTCGTGAGGTTCTAGAAGGCCTTTCTGCACTGAAATTTCTCCCTGACAGTCTGCCAGAAAGCCTGAAATTCCCAGCATTACCATCAGACCGTTGAGAAGACCTCGAGGGAGAAGGGAATGTGGCAAACTCATCACAGCCATTAAGCACCAGGCACAGATCAGCCAGCTTGAATCTCCACTGCACGATAGTCAACAGGTACAGAGGGCCTGCCACGCACAGGCACTGTGCTTGCAAACTCGGTACAAAGATGAGGAGGAGACTCCTTTCCTATCCGTAGGGAGATGGGGGTCTAGGCGGGGAGAGAAGTACATATACAAGTAAGTACAGTGCCCTGGGTAAAACCTGAAAGAAAGGTTTACACAAGGCCCTAGAGGGTGACCAGGACCCAGTAACAGCTGGGAGAGTCACAAAGGCTATCAGAAAGGAGAAGTGACTGACAAACCAGTAGAATTTGCCGGGCAAAGAAAAAAAGGCAAGGGAACAGCACCTGCAAAGCCACATAATTGTAAAAGGCACAGCACATTTAAGCGATGGTGTTGGTCAACTCACCATGCCGGAGCATCACACAGAAGCAGCAGTGCTAGACAAGGAGACAGGGAAAGGTGCTGAGCTGGCCTGGTCTTACAGGTGGGAGGGGACAGCAGCGGGTGAGGGCAGAGCAGAGTTTTTTGGAAGATGGTCCTAAGGGCAGGCAGGAGGAGGTGCTGAACAAAGGAAACGTCCTTGGCAGGGCCCTAATGAAAGGGACAGCTGGAGCCTTGTCCCTACTGAGGGATGCTTGCTTCCAAGTACCAAATGTAATGCAAAGGGAACGCCGGCCAAATCCCACAGGTCCAGGCCACAGACAGGCACGTTCCATGGATGATGAATTACTGCCGCTCCCTCCAGGTTCTACCTACAAAACGAAAAGGTGGGAGATGGATGGGCGAGAGGAAAGCCCCTTGCTGGTCCAGAGGAGAAATGATGAGGAACCGATGCATTTGCAGTGAAGGCGGGTTTTGGCCACAAGCAACTAAATATCACGTGAGGAACTTCAGCCCGGGATGACACAGACTGATAAAGGCATGGTGACCACAGAGAGACAACCAGACAAAAGAGACAGAATTCTCGGTTGCAAATGACAGAAACCAACCAAGTTGGAATGCTAGCTAACAGGTGTTCAAAGAATTGACAGGGGCTGGCCGCGGTGGCTCACGCCTGTAATCCCAACACTTTGGGAGGCCGAGGCGGGTGGACCACCTGAAGTCAGGAGTTCGAGACCAGCCTGGCCAACATGGTAAAACCCTGTCTCTACTAAAAATACTAAAATTAGCCAGATGTGGTGGCACACACCTGTAATCCCAGCTACTCGGGAGGCTGAGGCAGGAGAATCACTTGAATCTGGCAGGTGGATGTTGCAGTGAGCCGAGATCATGGCATTGCACTCCAGCCTGGGCAACAAGAGTGAAATTCTGTCTCAAAAAAACAGGGACACTGGACAATGTAGCCTGGAAAATGGGCAGAAACCAAAGGAAGGTGGTGGTCAGAAGGCCCACGGCCCAGACACACACAGAAGCAGTTACGATAATTCAGCACCAACACCTGAGGTAGCCCTAACCTGTCCCCTGTTCTTCACGTTGCTTACTTCAGGTTCAAAGTACCAGGCTACAGGAGGATTGGTTGTGCTAAGGTCAAGTTGCATGCCCTGGGCAGCAGGATATGGAGAAAGCAGGTACTGACCTTTTCAGCTTCCGTTGTAGGTGATGCCATGACTCACGCAACAGTGAGGTTCCCAAACGTAGGACAGTGTTCGGAAGCTGAATATCCAAAATAAATTTTAAAATAATGTCCACTTAGCAGTTTCTAACTCTAAGCCCAATTTCCAATGGACACATCTATCTTGGATGGCCTCAGAGCTCCTACTGGCCTCAGACATCCATAATCCCAGCTCCACAGTACTATAATATCCAAGATTGAGCTCCCAGCTTTTCCATCCCAGAAAGTACCCTTGGGTTCAAATAAAACTGTTCTTGGTTGTTTTTCGTGGAGTTTCTGTTTCATAAGATGAAACTGTTCGGAGATTTGTTGCACAACGGTGTGCATATACTTAACACGACTGAACTGTATCGTTTTAAATGGTTTTGATAAGTTTTATACGTGTATTTTATAATAAAACAAAAATTTTCTCTATCAAATTATTATTATTTTTTTAGATGGAGTCTTGCTCTGTTGCCCAGGCTGGAGTGCAGGGGTGCCATCTTGGCTCACTGCAACCTCCACCTCCCAGGTTCAAGCGATTCTCCTGCCTCAGCCTCCCGAGTAGCGGGATTACAAGTGCACACCACCATGCCCAGCTAATTTTTGTATTTTTAGTAGAGAAGGGGTTTCACAATGTTGGCCAGGCTGGTCTCGAACTCCTGACCTCAAGTGATCCACACTCCTCAGCCTCCCGAAGTGCTGGGATTACAGGCGTTAGCCACCATGCCGGCCTGTCAAATTATTTTAAAATCTCATTCTCTCAGGGCAGCTGATCAAAACTAGAAGGAAAACATCTGAGTGTTTATTTCCTGATTCCCGGGCTCCCACTGTGACTTTACTACTTTACTAAATGAGCAGTAAGTGTAAGCCTCATGGATGTATCTGTATTTAGTGAGAAGAGGCATTCAACAAGAGGACGGCTGCTGTGTATGTGTGTGTGCCTGCATGCAGGATGGCAGGTGGCTACAGAAATATATTTTCAACCTTCCTGGATGCCTCTCCACCACCCTCACCAGCACCTCGCCTGTAAACAAAGCCTCAACTCCAGGCAGACTGATCTACTCCCTCTCTATCCCTTGCTCCCTTGGAGCACTCCCCCCACCTGTCTGTCCTGTTCCTCAAGCTCCCGTCTAAATCCTGGTCCTTCCTAGGGGCTCATCTCAGCCCCAGTCTACCACGAAGCCTTCACACACCACCAAAGTCCACAGCAATGTCTTTGACCTTGAAGTCAAAAGTCTACCATGAAGCTTTCACACACACCACAGTCCACAGCAATTCCTTTGACCTCTACATTCCTATAACACTCACCATCAAGAGGCCCACAAGGCACTCATTTGATGCCACATTATTAACTCACGTTTTACGAATACACTTTAAACAAGATTGGAATCATAAACGTAGGAATAATCTCTTTCTCTCCCTCCCCCACCTTGCTTAGATGGAAGAAATACTTAATAAATAGTAAGTGGCTGATTGACTGAAAAAGTGAAAAACAGAAATAGAGATGAAAAGTACACTTGGTATAATTTCTTTTTAAGACTTTCCTGGGTTATGGGGCAGTAACTCCTCTCCTAACGATGAGGTTGCTTGCTTTTGCTTTTGTACAAATAAAGGTTTGGGTGGTGTTTATAAAACTGTCTGCCACCCATGTGGCATTTAACTGATTCTGCCTTGTACTATTAATTAGCTTCTTATGTGCGTGTGTACTTTAAACAAGATTGAGAAATTATATGTACGAAAAAGAGCTCTTGCTCTTGTAAGATCGAGAGTGTGTGTGTGTTTGCTTTTGATCATCTATAGAACCTAGTAACTGCTCAATAAATATTATTTAATTGACTAACTTATAGAATGAAAAATAGAAATAAATACAGATGAAGAATGTTAAAAAAAAATCTACCACTGCGCTAAGGAGATTGCTCCCCTTAATAGTGGAGAGACTACATATTGTGCCTGCACAAAAAAGAAACATCTTGTTTGTGAGGTTTTTTTTTTTTTTTTTTTTTTTTTAACTTCTAAAAAGTAGTGACTGAAATCTGGCAGGTAATTTCCCTGTTGGCATCCAAGGATGAGCCTAAGAGAACAAAATGGCCAAAGCCAAGTCTCTGAACTTGCTTACTCACTGAGCCAGGGACCTATAAGTCATCCCAGCTCTGCCAATAAGTTAAAAAGGAGAGCTGCCCCTGAGACAGCAGAGCCATTAGGATGTGGGAGATGGGCCAGACTGAAAGGGAAGCCTCTGAACCTTGAAGGAAAGCACCGTCATGCGGCTTGGGAGCTGGTGGTCCCTAGCAGACACGTCTGTCAGCTTAGGAAGTGAGGCGGCAAAGACAAGCCATCCCAACATCACATGGTGACAAACCAAGCAGGACAGAGAGGACCAGACTGGACAGGCTCTGGGGCCGGGACAGATGGGATGAAAGAGACCAGGGCAGAAGGGGGCCCCATGCCACGTGAGTTTCCCAGGGGCCGGGATAACTTCAGAAGGACCCCTAGTGTTGCGTATAAAAACATCAGAATTGGGGACTGACTCTGGAAAACCCCTCAAGAATCCCAAGCACATAAATCCTTTCTTGCCCTGGCTTCTATTTGCTCAGCAACTGCCCCTTTAAATCCCAGATCAGGGCCAGGCACGGTGGCTCATGCCTGTGATCCCAGAAGTTTGGGAGGCTGAGGCAGGTGGATGACTTGGGGTCAGGAATTAGAGACCAGCCTGGACAACATGGTGAAACCCCATCTCTGCTAAAAATACAGAAATAGCCGGGTGTGGTGGTGGGCGCCTGTAATCCTAGCTGCTCAGGAAGCTGAGACAGGAGAATCACTTGAATCTGGGAAGTGGAGGTTGCATTGAGCCGAGATCACACCACTGCACTCCAGCTTGGGTGAAAGAGTGAGACTCTGAGAGAGAGAGAGAGAGAGGAAAGAAAAAAAAAGAAGAAGAGGAAGAGGAAGAAGAAGAGAGAAGAGAGAATCGAGAAGCGAGATTGAGTCCACCCATCCCAGATCAGGAACTCCTTGAAGGCCCAGCCATGTGCAGGAGGGACTTAGTAAATAATGTGTAGGTGACGGAAGGAAATGCATGCTCTTTCACCTCATCTATTTCTTTGCTTTTTCATTTTATTTTTTTCTCATTTCCTACCACTTCCCCCACTTATTCTTTAGTAAGCCTTCCTTTAAAAGCTCCAAGCTTGTCCCAATAGAGACCTAAGAAAAATAGAAGCTAACCCATTTCTAACCTAAGTTAACAAGGGCAGGCAGGAGGGTCCTGGAAGGCAGGAGGGAGCCTTTACCTTAGCCCCAGGAGCTGAGGCAGCACCGAGGATACTGTGCAGCTGGAAGGCACGGCTGCAGAGCCCCTCCGCTGGGTTCATATCCCAGTTCAGCTTCCAACTGCAGCTTAACCTGGGGAAATTTACAAAACTCCTCTCTGCCTCAGTTTCCACATTTGTAAATTGGTGAAAAAAAATAGTGCCTACCTCATAATATTTGGGGAAAGATTAAATGAGTAAGTACTTGATTAGTGCCTAGCACTCAATACTCACCTCTTCCTTCTTTTTCCACTGCCCCAAATAAACACTAAAACTTTTGTTTCAAAATGTAGTTTTTCATAGCAAAAGAAGGTTCTATTGATCTGCCATGCGGCATGTGGTATGGAACAATCTCCTAGTACAGTGTAGGATTTTTAATTTATCATTTTTCCTTGTACATTATGCCCTCCCCTTGGATTCATCTTGCAACCAATGGCAAAGAGCTGTCAAAGAGGCTATTGAGAGGCTGGGTACAGTGGCTCACATCTGTAAACCCAGCACTTCGGGAGGCCAAGGTGGGAGGATCGCTTGGGCCCAGGAGTTCAGGACCAACCTAGACAACATAGCAAGACCTCATCTCTACGAAAAATTTAAAAATTAGCCAGGCATGGTGGTGTGCACTTATGGTCCCAGCTACTTGGGAGGCTGAGGTAAGAGGATTGCTTGAGCCCGGGAGGTTGAGACTGCAGTGAGCCATGATCACGCCACCACACTCCAGCCTGAGTCACAGAACAAGACCCTGTCTCAAATATTTTTTTTAAAAAGCCATCAAGACTGGCTTGCCATCTGTGGTCTTGGAACACACCGAGAACAGCAACCTCTGCTGACCAGCTGGGCTGAATTAACTTAAATGTTATATGTATGCTGATATTGAATTTCCTGGGTTTTTTTTTTTCCGTTCACACTACCTTCTCACTGCTGAAAGATGATCTTTAAAAGCCCATTCATTTATCGGGAGAAGGTGGCTTGTTGTCCCCGCAGGTGAGAAGCGCAGTGGTTGTCTGAGCCCTCCTCATTGTACTTGTGCACATCATATGCGATTCAGAGGCAAGGATAGCTGAGACATGCCAGGGGAAGAGACCGTCTCAGCTCCTCGCTGAATATTTTGCACAGTCTGCTCTAAATCACATGGACTTCTCTTTCAGTCAGGATTGAATCATCTCCAGAATTTATTCATCCTGCACAACTGAAACTTTGTATCCTTGTGACCACACCTCTTCATTTCCCTTTCCACCACGTTCCTGGAAAACACCATTCTCTGCTTCTATGAGTTTGACTTTTTTAGATTCCACATGTAAGTGAGATCATGCAGTATTTGTCTTTCTGTGTGTGACTCATTCCACTTAGCATCATGTCCACCATGTTTACCCACATTGTCACAAATGACAGATTTCCTTCTTTTTAAGGCTGAATATTATTCCACTGTGTATATATACCACATTTTCTTTATCCATTCATCCAGCCTTAGGCACTTAGATTGTTTCTTCATCTTGCCTTTTGTGAATAATGGACAGCATGTTAATAATACTGGATTGTACCCCTGAAATTTGCTAAGACAGTACATCTTGAGTGTCTCACCACACACACACACACACACACACACACACACACACATACACACAATGGCAACTATGTGAGGTGATGGATATATTAGCTGGCTTGATTATAGTAAAGATTTCACAATGAAATCAAAACATCATATGTACATTTTGAGTATATGCAATTTTTAATTGTCAATTATACCTCAATAAAGCTGGAGAAGAAATTAAAATCAATCAACCAATCAATCAATATCGACTGAATCACTGGCCCGTTTCTGTGTTCAGAAATTTTATGGCACAAGTGGCTTTCCAAATTCTCTTCATTTTCAAGGTCTTAAACACCATTTTCATAGATGAATAATTGCATTTTTACCATTCCTACGGGAAATTAATAGGGAGGAAAACATCAGTCAATCTTGATATTTGTCTTCATGCATAACAATTTTAATGCATACATTTTAATAAAGAAAAATGGCAAAGGACATGCAATTTGAAATTCAAACTGTGACCTAATATATTTATCTAAAATACAAATCTGATCAACCAAACTCCTGCAGCACAAATGCCAACAGGATTGGGGGCACTCACTTGTCAAGACATCACAGCATATGAGGCTTGATTTCTCCCTCCCCAGGTCTCCAGCCCACTCCATCCCTGGGGGTGACACGGACTGGGAATAGCTAATATCACTGGTAGTGGATGTACATGGAATATTATTATACTTGGTTTAAAAACATAAATCCCCAGAAACGGTGCAATGGAGTATTTTACTTAAGCCCATATCCTCCTTGCCAGAAACCAAAAAATTAAAGTTGCTTTGATTGCATTACACAAGATGTTTTGCTTTCATCTTATCCATTTTGGTCTCCTATACTGGAAGATGGTGTCATGAGGATGCCTGAGAAACAGGAATAGGTATTACGTTTAAATCTTTGTAAATATACCAGAGACCCAGAGGCCAGACTTACAGAGCAGCATTCTCTCTTATTTAACCTGATTTAAGCAATAGGAGATCTCAACCGTCACCCAATAAAAGAAAATCAGTTCTGTCATCTGGGGTTCACTTCCTTATTAAAAATTAATACACAAGAATGAGCAACCAAACAGGAGAGAGTCTCCTGGATCTTTTAACTCATATAGCTCAGTTTCTTCCCCCTTTTAACTCAAGGTCTTAAATCTTTGTACCATTTGTACCATTTTTCAGACAGTTTAGTGGTTGATGGAAAAGGTCAATCTGGCAGCTCTAAAGAATTCCACTCTCTATTTATTTCTCTACCAAAGGGACATAGTTTGGATCCTGTACTGCATTGGAATATTTGAATCATATTCATTGGAATATATGCCATCTAGAAGTTGAAAAAGAAGAGAAAATACATATTCAAGCTAAAATAAATCCAATTTTAAGGAGGCCATTAGTCAACCCCAATTTCAGTAAGGTTTTGAAAAAACAGGCAAGACTAAAATAGACTAAAATCACATGGGCGACTGCACAGCTTTCTCTTGGGACTCTACTCCAACAGAAGACCTGCAGGACAGACCAATTCCAATTGCTTCAAGGTGCAGGATTTCTAATTCAATACAATTTAGGAGGCAAGCTCTCCTGGACACACCCACACAGATTTATAGGGGGCATGAGATGTTGCTCTCTACCAACTATGTCATAGAAAACAGGTTCCGAACATGCCAGAGCAGCTCAGTTTGTACTCTTCTGGAACTTTCATCTCTTGTCCAAGTGGTAAAATCTGAGCAGCCTTTATTTTATAATTAAGTATCTTCAAATTTTTTTCTGAAGGTTAAAAATAATGAATGGCTTAGCCTAAAAGCCAACAACAATTCCAGATACCATTACTATGGTTAGAAAAATAAGATACCAACGTATATTCCCTTGCCAAATATATACCAATATATACCAATGTATATTGCCTCCCTCAGCAAAGCCACTTAGGAAAATTAGAACTGAAACCAGTGTGGTCCTGTGTACTCAAAGTTTCCAGTCTTGTTATCCGCCACCTATTGCTGTAAAGAAACCATTCTCATAAGAACAATTAACGAGAAGTGTACATTTCTAGGTTGAAACAAAAGGAGAAGGTTCACAATTTAGAAATAAAAGGGAAGAAATAGCAGTGTCTCAAGTATGACAACATGAGCTGAAGAAAAGAGTTCCATGTGATTTAATCCCAAAACAAAACAAGCCCAGGAAGAGATTTCCCAGACTGGCAATTGGACAGCACTCTTTCTGCAGTGGAAAGTATTTGAAATAGGGCATTGCTTAACGTCAGGCCTCTTCTGTTGAAGGACGACACTGTCCAATCCGGTTTTTATTCCTCCCACCCAGAAATCCAGGACTGTGAAAGTCTATAAAAGTCCCAAACAATTTTCAGGATCCCAGAGGCTATGACCTTCATCATTTTCCCGTGATAGTCTCTAAGTCCAATTTTTCAGAATCATTTATTTGAAGACCAGACCTCTGCATGAGAAATGAAAACTATTCTAGTAGAATGGCTCCAGTGGAAGGTGGTTTTCTCAGGGCCCAGGCTGTCCCTCCAGCCTGGAATGCCCAGACTTCAAGGTCAACCACAAGTCCACTTCCCCGCCTATTCTGATGACATCCATCTCTCTTTCTGCAGAATCCTCTTGCCTGAGTTGTTGCCTGAGCCATGTTGAGCCATGCAGTGAGTAGCTTATCACATGCCCACTACATGCCACCTTGCTTTCTGAGAGGTCTCCTTTGCATATAATCTCCCCAGCTGGGACCACTCTGTGGAAATGGATGGTTGTCAGCATCTCCCAAAACCTCACAGATGGCAAGTGTTCCTCACAGACGGAACACTGAAGGTTAGCTCCTTGATCTCCAGTCACCAGGCTAGGGGGATGCTCTGTAGCTTGCCTTGTGGGTACTTCCCTTGAGTGAGAAAGAGATGTCGGCAGTGCTGCTGTCAGCTAAAATTATGATAAATAACCCTTTGGCTTTGTATAGCACTTTTCAGCTACAGAGTGCTTTCAGACACGATCCCAGTGAAATGTTACACTTTTTGTAAATACGTGGGAGGGTGGTTGTTCTGTAACTTCCAGATTGTCTATGTCACAACAGTGCTGCACGGCCCTGCCATGAAACCCTCTACCATTGAAGCGTGTGGTACAGCAGTGTTCAGTGGAAGACCCAGAGACTAGAAATGTACGGTACCCAACCCTAGATTACATCATCCAAGTTTCACAGTTGAAGCCAAGACAAAGTTGATTCAATAAAGAAAGTTTGTCTTAGATACCTTTGACATGCCCTCTGCCCTTTGTTGTCTCTAACACTTTTAGGAAAAAATACTGAAGGGAGAAAAGGCTCACCATATGTATGGTCTTATTTTCAACATTTTAATTTGCAACGATAACCTGAAGACATTACTTAACCTCTCTGAGCCTCAGAAGTCACATCTATAAAGTTCAGTCCCATCTATAAAGTTGCTGGAGGTTTACATGACATAAATCACACACTATGTTTAGCACAGGGCAAGGCATCCAGGAAGCAATTGATATATGAAGGCTTGGGTTGTTTGTTAATAATATTTAGGAAGACAAGGCCGGGTGCGGTGGCTCACACCTGTAATCCCAGCACTTTGGGAGGCCAAGGCAGGAGGATCACGAGGTCAGGAGATTGAGACCATCCTGTCTAACACGGTGAAACCCCGTCTCTACCGAAAATACAAAAAATTGGCTGGGCATGGTGGTGGGCGCCTGTAGTCCCAGCTACTCGGAAGGCTAAGGCAGGAGAATGGCGTGAACCCAGGAGGTGGAGCTTGCAGTGAGGCGGAGTTTGCAGTGGGCCGAGATCGCACCACTGTACTCCAGCCTGGGCGACAGAGCGAGACTCCGTCTCAAAAAATAATAATAATAATATTTATAAAGACAAAACAAATGATGCATTCATAAAACTGTGAAGAGTTTGATAAAAATTAAGTCACTTCTGTCCATCAATATTTATTAAGCATGTTCGCATTCAAAGATTGCATGGAGAAACAGTATCCTCCCTGCCCGTCCCAAAAAAACAGAAACGATACTATGGTTTTTGCTTATAAGGATTTCATTACCTAGTGGGTGAGTGATACACACTTTTAAAAACGCCTAAGAGCATTTACAGATCCTACAGAAAGAGGAAGTTAAAGTGTAACTACGGTACAACTGAGCCCCCATAGAACCAATAAATTGGTGGCAATTATTAGCAATAACCACAGGCTTCCTACATATAGCGAGCTTCCCCTTAAGTGCATGTAAGCTGAACATAGATTTTCCTGTTTCATTTGACTTCCTTTTCCAGGAACACCTCTATCTGTAAAGCCAGATGTATCTGTGCAAAGGCACAGAGGTCGAAATGGAGGACTCGAAGAAGGGAGTCAGGCCAGCTCGCCTGCCCCACTGGCCCTTCCAAACAGAGGCTCCGGGCCTGCTCTCCCAGCTGCCTGCCTTCTCTCTTCCTGTCGCCACTGCCTAGGGTTCAGGCATCCATCGTCCAAATACCCAGGACTCCTGCTTCCCCTCGACTCTCTGCCCACAGCCTGCGCTGCACCACTCTGGTTTGCCACGTTCAGTCAGCTGTTCAAGGTGGCCTAATTCACAGCAGCGTGAGAAGAACCCCAGGAAACACAGGCCGCACACAGATTATCTCAATTACAGGAAAAGCATCACTGTTAACTTCACTAAGCAAAAGAATCGATTAATCTCTCTGGCCTCTGGGATCCCACGCCTGCCAATACTCTAGCTGCTCATTAAGATCCAATTTCTAAGGGTCCTTGAGATTTTCCTAACTCCCTCCGCTCAATGCTTATTTCTCCTTCCACCTCCATCCAGGGCTGATCACTTCATCCAGAGCCTGTGGTCCTAGAGAAACAAAGGTCTAAGTCCTCAGGGATGAAACTGCTCTCTTCCAGTCACCTGAGCCCAGGCCAGGGTCAGCCTGGACTCTCTTGCAGAAGCCCCCTGGGGCTCCTGCTCCTGTCACTGTTCCTCTGTGCTGTCCTTGATCTCCCATATTTGACATCTCTTTCCCAGGTGACTGCCCGGGCAGCTCCATGTCATGAATAAATCATCTGCCCTCTATTTCTATTCTCAAGTTTTCCTGAAAGTCTCAGTTTCTTCTCAGCTCCTCCCCTAGCCCACCATCACTATGGGCTTCTGAGGTCGTGTCCCAGCCAATGTCACTACAACATGTCCTTCAGGGAGCCTCCCATCAGGTTCTCGGCTTGTTATTCCCTCTACTTGG